>NC_000018.10:53935241-54235907 GCF_000001405.40 Homo sapiens
AACCAGTCAGATTCCAGTACTGTTGTCATCATTGTATCTCGAACCCCACATAAACTTCTCTCACTGTCAGGGTTTACCACGCTGTGGTCAGGTACCTTATTCGATGACCTCCACGCAAGTTTAAGAATTTTAGGATTTTTCAAATCCTTTTTTAGATGTATTCACTGAGCCTCCTTGATAAGATCATGTTCAGACATAGATGTATTAATAGCTTGATTTCTGAGCAGACCAGTTGACTAAAACAAGACATTCAAAATCATTCATACCAGAAAATTATCCAGATGCCTGGCTGATTACCCTGATGACTGGCTATAGCAGATGTTGTTGCCTATTCATTCTCCCTCTGCCCTCACTGCTCTGTGTATACCTAATGTAGGCTTCCACGGGCACGTGGGCTTTTTGCAAGGCAGACCAGATGTTTATGGGAATAAGCAGCCCTGAATGTAGCCCTCAACCAATGATTGATGGGCATGGGTGGGTAAAGTCATCTCCCTTGCCCCTTAGTTGGGATGATGATGTATTCTACACTGGCTCTCAAAGGCTGTTTTTGGGATATAGGCCCAGTTTTCCACAGCAACACTGGTTGATAATGTACTCATTGTCTACCTTCCTTCCTTCTGTGTCTCTTCTTCCTTCTCTACTCCTTTTCTAATGCTTCTTGGTGTCATTTTACAAGTAATCTACTAGCACTGACAATCTCGTCTGTAGAATCTACTTTGCAAAACCCAACCTCAAATAAGGGTGATTTCCCAGTCTTTGAAGTCTTTCTGATGAGTCTGCTTCATCCAACATTGTCATTCTTAGAGTTTCACTCTAGCCATATATGGTGACTCATTCCTTCAGGCTTTTTCTGTTTTTTCCAGAAAGAAGAATTTTGTTAGCCAAAGAAAAAAATGGCTAAACACGAAACTGAAGATGTTGGCAAAATTCAGATTATTCTGAGCCTCATATCCATGCTAAAGGATTTAGTTAAAGTGGAGTGGGACATCCCTGAGCGAGGCAAGAGAGAACATAGTTAAATTCATTTTATAATAGTCACTCTGACTACCATATGGACAATAGAAAGGAGAGTGACAAAACAGAATCAGAAGCCAAATCAGGAGAGGACTCCAGAGTAGGGACTTGGGTGAAGGTGATAATAGAGATGAAGAGAAGTGGATGAATTCTAGCAATATATATTTGGAGTTACAGGTTTGTTTCTATGTTAGAACATCCAAATGCATAAGAAATTATAGGATATGAGGGCAGGGGATTTAAGGAGAGGGAAAAATCAAGACTGATTTCTAGCTCAAGAAATAGAAAATATAATCTCTTTTAAGAGGTGAAAACTTAGTGATGAATGTTTTTGGCATAAAAATTCAGAGTTCAGGGCATACCTAGTACAAGATACCTGTGAAAAGGCTAAATGGAGATGTCAAAAAGGCTGCTGGATATACAAGCCTGGGTCTCAAAGGTAATGGTTGGACTTGAGATGTAACTGGAGTTTAATCATCTAGAAAATGTGTGACCATGGGATTCAATGAACTCTTCCAAAGAAAGGAAGAGAAGAAAGAAAAGAGAATGTAGGATAAAGACCCGAGGTACACCAGCATTTAGATCAGATGGAGGAGGAGAAGTAGGCACAGCAGATAAGCAAGAGTGGCCAGAGATAGGAGGAAACCAAGAAGAGCATCTTGTCACAGAATTAAGTGTAGAAAGTCACGCCAATAAAATAAATGTCAACCACATTTCATGCTGATGCATGATAAAGTTAAATGAGGGCTGAAAATTGTCTATGGGCTCTAGAACCATGGAACTCATTGGTAGCGTACCATACTTAACCTGGTTATGCTTGGAGTAGTGCAGATAACGTCTGCCTTCCATGTAGGATCATTAGTAGTGATTATTTTCATTCTCAACAGTTCATTGACAATAAACCACATGATCCCCTTGGTCACTCGTGACTTTGAAAAGAGTAGTTTCAACAGAGTGGTTGTGGTGGAAGTCAGAGTGGGATGTAAACAGGAAGCAAGAAAGCTGCATCAGCTCATGCAGACAAGTCTTAACTATGAAAGGAAGCAGAAGAGAGAGAGCTAGAAGAGGCTCCAATGTCAAGGAAGGACTTTTTCAGTATGTTCAAAGTACATGATGATAAAAATGATCTTTCTGTGAGCACAAGATAATGAAGGAAAGAAAAAACTGAAAGACCAAAGTTCCTGGGGGAAAAACAGATTAAATCTAGAGAGAATTGCTATTAGAACTCTCACTTTATATTATAGAGAGGGAAAGACCATGATTTTTTAGTGGTAAACAATGGATAACAATTTTTTGCTTTTAAATTTTTCTGATATTTCTCAACACTAGTTTATCATACAATGTTCAGGACTATAATTTTAGTTAGCATACTGTAATCACTCTTAAAAATTATGATAGCCCCTCTAATAACTTAGATCAGCATTTTAAAACTGTGACTCCAAAAAATGCTAGTGTTTCTTGAACTGTTGAAAGTACTCCGAGGCAAGAGGGTTCCATGATCAAATAAATTTGAGAAACACTATATACTCTATCTTTTTCTCACATATTCACAATGGTCCACAATGTATACCCCAGTTTAATTTTGTTCAACCAAGGATTTCCTCAAAATCAGATATGGAAATTCATTCCAAAATATATTCCCATGTAAGTATGCACACATATTCTGCCAATTTTCTGAGCATTCATGTAGCCTCAAAATACCCAAACCAACTTGGAATTTGGAAGAGCAAGGTATTATCTTCAAAGCTTATCCAGTGACTTTAGAGATTACCTCTAATTCATCCTAGAATTCCTATGAATTATTTTTTCTCTCAGAAAAATATCCCTCTGTTACTTTTTCTATGCTTTAAACTGGTTGCCACCTTTGATAAAATAATACAGGCAATGCTACAGTGACTTTTAATACTTTTTATGCAAATATTGTCAAAGGTTTTAGAAAGTCTATTTTATTCTTATGTTCCCTTTTATCTACATGCATATTTATTCCCTTGTACAACTCTAGAAGATCAAAAAGCTGTCCCAATTTGAGAGGAAAAATTACAGTGCTACAGAAAGAGCCAGAGGCTGTTCCTCCACAGAGCTTGAACTAAAATGGAATAAAATTAAATAGAAAACTTTTTTTCATGGGGTATTTCCAACAACTTTGGATAGTCTTTTGGAATTTGGGCCAGAAATGTGTTTAAACATGTTAAATATGAAAAAAGTTTGGTGGGGGAAAAAAGTAGGAGTAGAATATTTTGTAAATATGAAGTTTTGTGCTTCATCTTTAAAAATGTTTTCAAAGAAACTTAAATTTTTAGACCAACAAAATTCAGAGTATGTACAATTTCTATTTGCAGTGCAAATAAAATTTGATTTGTAATACCGAAATTAGTCCAAATTTCAGATAAGAGAAAATTAGTTATAAAATATTTCATGAAGCTAAATCTAAACCATAAATGTTAATAAAAATCACTTCTAGGTAGCTAATGTTGTTACAGAACATTACATGACTTCCAACTCACTGGCCCTTTGTGGAGCCAAAATAGTACATAGCAAACATACTGAACAATAAAATAATATATGATCAATACTCTTGCATAGAATTCACCTTTGGCCAAAAAGCATCAGAGCAAATTAAAATCTCAGAGCCTCTTTATCTAGTTATTTAAATGTAGTCTAGAGGATTTTTAGTTCATTTCCATTAATATATATGGAAAGTCAAAAAGTCTTTTAATTAAGAGCCAAGTCTAATCACCTCTAATGCTTTTGCAATATCTTTGACAGAGGATATCCAAGGACATGAAATTGAACAATTCACATGCCATGTTTATTAAATCGCTTCAGAATAAGATTGTCTATTCCCACAAGACAATCAGAGAGGTCAAAAGACTCCATCACAGATTTTCACAATCCACCTAAATCCTCATGTTTGCATATGATCTATGTTAATTCTAACAATCCTTCATTGTTTTAAGGAAAGACAAAACAGAAGTCAGTTGTATTGATTAACACCAATTAATAAGTATGAACCAATTATCTACTAACATGATAAAGGATATAAAAAATAAGCAGTATGTCCTTAAAATACAGCTAATGATCTCTAATGTCAGGTAGCACAGGCCTTACACGTAGTAGGTACTCAAAATATACTGATTTGCATGTGACAAATAATTCAAGATTATACCAAATTTCATGCTAAACTATTTGGTAGACACTGGCAATTATCACAGGGTAATCAGACCAACAGCATCAGCATCGCCTGATGAAACCCCTCCCTCTACCTCGGACCAAATTGAATCCGAAACTCTAGGGTGGAACCAAACATCACTGTTTTAATAAATCCTTCAGGTGAATCTGATGTGCACTACAGTTTGGTAACCACTGGCATAGACTATAGAAGCTAGTTGTTCTGGAACAGCAAAGGAAATTACTGAGGCCAGAATGACCAGAAAATGCTTCATTAAGGAGGTACTTGATGAAGCTGCTTGTTCAGAGTCAGGCTACTTGCTCCCACAATGCAATTAAGATGATGAAAGGACCTAAAGCACTGATTGTTATAATCAGAAAGATTAAACAAACTTGGTCTGTACTCATGCTGACATCATTTACATAAGAAAAACGAGGGTGCAATTGCTCTAGGTAAAATAACATGGGTGAAAGAACTTTTTGGGCAGCAGAAAATGCTAAAGTATGGTCAGGTTTTGAGGTGGAGAGCAAAATAGAACATAAAAAGATTCTCTGGCAAAATCCAGCTGACACTAGCTAGATGCATGCTCATAACACAGGAGACCACACTTCCGAGCCTCCCCTGTGGTTAGAGGAGAGCTGATGACTGGGTTCTAGCCAATATAATGTCACTTGCCTGTGATATTTGTCCCACCTAGGCCTAAAAAGCACATCTCCATGTGATTTTGTGACCCTCTCTTCCCGTCCTTCATGACAGTGGAAACTCCAGGTTTGAGAGTGGGATTATCACACCATAGAAGGAGCCTAGATCCTTGTACCACTGCCTGAAGGAACACAACCCAGCAGAGCCACCCACGCAGGAGTAGACCAGGAACAGGTGTAAAAAACAAACCTTGTGTTAAGTTTCTGAGATTTTGGAGTTGTTACCACAACATAGCCTAACCTACTCTTACTAAAACACAGAAATAACCAAGTGATGTCACAGCATGTTTGTGACATTCAAGGGAAAAATTCATCAAAGCCAAGGAGAAGCCACAAGATCCTATCCTACTGTTCTAAGCAGTTGAATCAATCAAATTCTCAGAGCCAGAGAATTGTCTTTTTAATTTGCAAGTTTGGCCAATGGACTCTTTTTGCCCCTTCACTTACAATTGAAATTCAATAGACATGTACAGTGGGTTCTTCCAGTTCAGAGAAGTAACACTCAGAGTATTCCCTCCTAAAAAGACTTAGTCTTCTAAGTGCATGATGGAACAGGTCATTTGTCCTCAAGCCCTCTGAGTGAATTGGATTTGATAAATATTTTCACTCTGGCAGCAAAATAACAGCAGTGGCTTCACAATCAAGAGTTGAATGAAGGATGATAATTTTGGCCATTCCTGCATGATCTTCCGTAGTCTTTTTGTAAGTAACTGAATCTCCATACCATAATACTAGATAGTATGATTCAGTCAGGGTATTCAGAAAAGCCACTCTAGGTATCCTGATTAGGAGATTGCAACAGGAAATTGGAGGCTTACACAAACCATGGGAGGGCTGCAGGAGCCATGGTCAGGAGGGCTGCTGGATTTCAGGAAATCGGGAGTCAGAGGGTAGTCTCACTAATAATTTCAGCTCCCTGCTGCCCCAGTTGTGGATCCTCAGATGCATAGAAGTTGCCATGATGATATCAGTTGCCCACAGTACAGGAAGACCCCAGAAACCACTCACAAAACTCTACATCTGCCATCTATCAATGCCCACATACCTTTCCTCAGCTGGTGCTGGAGAAGAATGGCTTGTCCCTCCCATACACCTTCCAGACTTTACCAAAGTGACTCTCATTTGCATAAAGTAACTGAAACCTGGCTGATTAGGAATTTGAAAGGTTTAATTTCCGTGTTTCTAGCCCCCAACGTACAATGGAAAAAAAGAAGAGTAGGAACAGTGTTTATTAACAGACAAAAATCTGACTCAGAATGAGATGTATAAATGAAAAAGACAACAGTGGACATGAAGCTAGTTAAACCTTCTTTGTAAAACTACTCTTGGGGCTGTGTTGGCATCTTGGACACATGCCCAAGTGAAGCCTGGCTATGGCAGTTGAGGTGGTTGCCTTCAAATATATTGATTGCTTTCCCAAAGTATTGGTGGCAACTGACAAAAATCAACTCTGGTTAACCAGAGGGAATGTCTAGAGAAATTTCTCTTTACTATTGGACATTTGGTTTTTCTTGTGTTAATCAGTTCATAACAGAAAACCAACTCAGATTACTTTAAACAAAAAGGCAATTTCTTGACTCCTATATGTAAGAAATTCAGGTGTAGAGCAGGCTTTAGACATGACTAGAGATCCAGGAATTCAGGAGATGGTATCAGGGTGTTGGGGCTGTGTTTCCTTTTTGCATCTCATAGCTCTGTTTTTCATTCTTGGTTTTACATTCCAGAGCAATTCATTATGTGGCAGACAAGATGGCAACTGCAGGCTCTCACCTATCTGAATTTGGCAACCTCAAAAGAAAAAGAAAAAAATCTTCTCTCTTTAAAATCACTCCCAGAGAGGAATTTGATTGCTCTGGGAATGGGACTTTTATGCCAAGTGTCAGATTCCAGCTCAAGCTGAGGACCAAGGGGAGTGAACATGAGCTCATGTGGATGATCACCTAATGTGCCTCATGTGGCATGGTTACATAATGTACCCCATATGGCATGGTTACATAATATGCAGAGTTGTGTGCCCTCACTCCAAACCTGCTGAGTCATGCTGTGCCAGAAAGCCACACTGGCCTACTCCTAAGTGAAGCCATCTCCCTTACACTCCACCCCCTAGGCTGAGGGCATCCTCCAGGCAGGGACACATGCCCACAAGGCAGAGCCCTGAATTAATAACCCACAACAATACAGAGAGCAAAAGCTCCAGGTTATGGCAGGCAACCACCCCATGGTGATGTTATCCAAATGTTGCTTTATACATTAAGCCAGGTTTTCCACTCCCCTGCCTTCAGGGGTATTGGGGCAAGTAACAACAGGTTACCATTCATCCCCACACCTGGTCAGAGGAGGTCATCCTTCCTCCCATAGGTTTTGCCACATGGCTTGCCCCCACATGGGCCAGTGACCAAATGGTCACTTCTGTAACTTCTAGGTAGTTAACCACAAGCTTAAGCCTTGATAGACTTCCCAGCTATTGGTACACATTATCATAGGTGTCACCTCCTTGGTGATCACCATCCATACTGCCCTGAGGTCAGCCCATTGGCTACTTTGTCCACACCCAGTTTCAAAACATATGGTGTCAGTACTATATTGGACTGCAACAGTGGTCAAGCAACAGTAGCACCTTGGCTAGACCCGTCTGTGTACCATGCCCTTTCAGGAATGGGGGTATGCCCTTCCTTAAATGGTGAAGGCTCAGGGTCTAGGAATGACTCAGGCCCCATGGCCTTATCCTGCATTAGGGTCCCAAGACCTCCCGCAACTCTGCTGCTAAGAGACTTGTACTCAGCATTCTCCACTGCTCCAAATAGGTTCCCCACTTTGCCAAAGTGGACGTCTGAGCTGTCCCAGTGTGGGGGCCCATTACCCATGAACACACCCATCCCACTATAAGGTACGTTATCCATATGACGACTGTAGCCCATTCTGCCACACTTTCATAAGCCTAAAGGGCAGCATACGCAGTTACTAATTGCTTCCCTATCAATGAATACTGGAGCTCAGCTCCATAGTTGGGACCAGAAGCCTACTGGCATTCTCAAGTAGTCCATGTGCTGGTCCAAAACTATCTGTGGTCACATGCACAACAAGTCTAAATGGTGCCCCTGGTTAATTACCCATAGGGCTTGTGCCTTCTGAACAGCCCACTTGGCTGCTAGAAAGTCTGTCTCAGCCTCATCATCTTAATTCTAGGCAAGGGGAGCATTGCCACTTCCAAATCTGCAAGAGAATCAGAGGTTAACATAATATCATTAACAAGACCATGACATATGGTGAGGCTATACACATAGCCCTTCAGAAACCCTGTGAAAGTCCATTGTAGCCCTCCCAGGAAGGCAAACTGTTCCTGACTCTCTGGAAAAGAATGCATTAGCCAAGTTCACCATGTAGTGGTACTGTCCAATTCTGTCATCAAGCAGTCCATCAAATCTGTGATAGATGGGATAGCTGCCAAGTGGTATAAAACATCTACCCCAGAATGTATTCATGTATGGGAGAGACATACACAGTGCATGAGTGGGGAGCCAAGCAGCTGACGCTGAGGTACAGAGATACAGGTTTCACTTTCACTGACTGGTCTTCATAACCATCTATGCAGCCTTGCCTGGAAACTTATCTGGGTGCAGGGACCAGTGGATTGCCAAGTCCACATGTGGCCTCCAGTCATC
Source organism: Homo sapiens (assembly GCF_000001405.40). NCBI lineage: Eukaryota > Metazoa > Chordata > Mammalia > Primates > Hominidae > Homo > Homo sapiens. The sequence goes on from NC_000018.10 coordinate 53,943,788, forward strand.
CTGTGTCCTCCCAAGTTGGGAACCTTGGCCAGTTCCCTCATAAAACAGGAAAGGCTTTACACCCCTGCCTGGCTGCAGCACCCAGTCTTTGAACTGAAATGCCCAGGGGGGGACCAGGTCACTCAGCAATGTCCTCCTCCCCCTTGGGCATTTTCTGGAATTGCTTCTCTGGAGACAACTGTCTCCACAAAGTTAAGAATACTTCATTGGGCTGCTTATCAATTCTTTCCTGGTCAACCCTGGCCAAAATCAAATCTATGCACCTCTGTGAGTGTGTCACTCATTGGGGCCCCCTTTTCTCCCATGGCAGGGGCTCCTGTGGGTGGGGTATCATCTTCTCCTTCTTTACTTTGTGGACACCCAGGTCCTGCCAATGGCCTCCTTGGTATGAGACCAAGTGGGGGTCTCCAGCCGAGACAATGGAATCAGGCCTGCATTCACAGCAGCCTCTAATTCTTTTTGCAAGTTCTGGATGCCCCACCTGCACCTGGAGGTCCCCATTCATGGAAGTCTCTAATTCTTTTGCTGAGCTGTGTAGCCAGGCCTCCAGGCATCCTACCTGCATCTGGAGGGCTCTTACCTGTGCTGCATCCCTCAGGGACTGGGTGTGTACTTCTCATAGCACAGTCAAAAATGCCCATTTAACTCTGCCGGCAAAAGCTCACTCCTCAGTGCTCTGCACTCCCAGCTGCTTCAACACCTTCTCCATGCTCGTGGAGGACCCATCTACCACCACCCAGGTCTCCACCGGAGCCCATCTGAGTAGCACAGCTTGGGATCCTGTTCGTGATGCCAATTGTTATGCCAAGTGTCAGGTTCCAGCCCAAGCTGAGGACCAAGGGTAGTGGGTGGACCAGTGGCGGGTAGCTAGAAAAATACTTGAGGAATCCTAAACAGTTTTGACATGGCTTTTACTTTCTCTCCAGGCATGAGCCATGGGCACAAGCCATGGGCCTGAGCCTAGGTGCAAGCTGAACTGGCACAAGCCCCATGTACAGCATCAGCAGGGTAGTTATACCCTTTATGAACAGTAGTGGCTCCAAGCCAAGCACAAACTCACATGGGTGATCACCTAATGCACCTCACAGGGCGTGATTACATAATGTGCCTCATGTGGCATGGTTACATAATGTGTGGAGTTGTGCACCTGCGCTCCAAACCCGCTGAGTCACACTGCAGTGGAAAGCCACCTTGGCCTACTCCTGACTAAAGCGCAGCCATCTCCATCTCCCTTACACTCTACTTGAACCAAATGGTCACACATCCATCCCTAAAGCCAATCACTCTGGCCAGAAGAATGGATTGCTCTGATTGGATAGGTAAGTTTCAATAATTGATAGCTCCCCAACACTAGCAGCCCCCAACCCTCCACAAAATAATCAGACAAAGAAGACTAGGAATGCCCGCTGAGATAACAATCCACATCAATTGGACTGACTGGTGATAATGGGTAGAAGTGGAGAACTGGAGAAGCGAAGGGAGACCAGATTTGTGTACAGTCATATTTTGCTTGAGGAAGGGGATACTTTAAGAAATGCATTATTGAAATGATTTTATCTCTATGTGAACATCAGAGTGTCTTACGCAAGCTTTGATGGAATAGCTTACTGCACACTTAGGCTATGTAATATAGACTGCTGCTCCTAGGCTACTAACCTGTATACCATGTTACTGTACTGAATACTGTAGGCAATTGTAACAATGGTATTTGTATATCCAAACATAGAAAATCAATAATAAAAATACCATATAAAAGATTTTTTAAATGCTCACTTGTCTGGGGGTCTTACCATGAATGGAGCTTGCAGGATTGGAAGTTGTTCTGACTGTTTCAGTGAGTGAATAGCAAGTGAATATGAAGTCTACTACTGTAGACTTTACAAACACTGTATACTTAGGTTACACTAAAATTTAAAAATATATTTTTCTTTCTTCAATAATAAATTAAACTTAGCTTATTGAAACGTTTTTACTTTACAAATTTTTAGACTTTTTGACTCTTGTAATAACAGCTTAAAACACATTGTATAGCTGTACAAAAATACTTTTTAATATTCTTATTCTGTAAGTTTTTTTCTATTCATTTTTTAAATTTTTTACTTTATATTTTGCTAAAACCTAAGACACAAACACACACATTATCCTAGGCCTAAACAGGGTCAGGATCATTAATATCACTCACTGTCTTCTTCCACCTCTACTTTTTCTCCCACTGAAAACTCTTCAGGGGCAGCAACAGATATGGAGCTGTCATCTCCTATGGTAATAATGCCTTCTTCTGGAATCCCTCCTGAAGGACCTGCCTGAGGCTGCTTACAGTTAACTTGTTATATAAGTAGAAGGATTATACACTAAAATAATAATTTAAAAGTATGGTAAATACATAAACAAGTAACATAGTAATTTATCAAGTACTATGTACTGTATATAATTGTGCTATACTTTTATACAACTGTCAACACAGTAAGTTTGTTTATACCAGTATCACCACAATCATGTAACTATTGTGTTGTGCTATGGTGTTATTACAGCTATGACATCACTAGGCAATTAGGAATTTATCAGTTCCAACATAATCTTATGGGGCCACCGTCATACATGTGGTCCACCATTGACCAAAATGGCATTATGCAGTTCATGACTGTATACAGTGCAAGAGGATGAAGTCATCTAGAAGGGAAGAGGTGGGAGGGGAAAGGAGACTGCATAAAAAGGGCAAGAAGGATGAGAAAAAAGAGGGAAAAAATAGAACAGAAGCTCAAATGTCTTTCCCCTTTGCCTTTTCTCTTTCCACTGCTCCCTCTTCTCTTGTCTTCTTCTCCATTCCCCATCATCTATCTCCTCAACTCAGCTTTCTACTATGCAACCTCAGGAGCAGGATTTCCTCACTTTTCCCAAGAACTTTAAGAATTACTCATCTGTTAATAATCATTCTCTCTTAGTTTATGAACTCTGGTTTCTAAGAGAAAGAATCCTATTTCCTCAGCTTTGGTTAGACGTGCAGTTCAGAGCAATCAATCAGCCACATCCTGGTGACAAGGTGTTATGTTTCAAGAAATGTAGTCCTGAGATGCTCATACACTCTAGTATGTTACAGCTTAACCAGACACATGTGTCTATGTTGTCATTGCTCTCTAGAGATTTCCATATCAGAACACTGAATACAAGGCATAGGAATAACAGTTGGGAAAAGTGAGTCTAAGCCTTTCTCCCGTATCTATAAAAATTTTGACTTTTAAAATGTAGCTCAGATGTAAGTGGGAAGAAAATAGGACAAATAATGAACTCTGGATCTGTTGTGGACAGGAGGATGATTTAAAAGCGTTACATAAAAAGAAAACATGGCATCCATATTTCTGTCTAAAAAGAGATTCATTTTTATCTCAGACCTCAGTCTGACAACAGTAAGAAGTTTTTAAGAACTACCTCCATGACCAAAGAACAGGTAATAACTGCCATTGAAACAGAAAGGTAAACAAAGAGAACACAAAGCCTGTGCAAACAGAACAGAAAATTATTCCCGGGGATGAAGGCTGGCAGCGGAGATCTTCATGGTATACTGTGTTCCTGGACTTTCCACAGGTACTGGTCCCCAGGGAACAGGACCCACCTCACCCATGTCTTTTATCAGCTTGCCAAAGCATTCCAAAATTTCTAAACAAAACTCATCAGGCTGGAATGCATACATAGGTCAGCGCCGCACTACTTTGTCTACTTTGCCAGTAGACAGAGCTATTCATTAGCCAGGTCCCAGTCCCAAGTCAGAGAGCTGATCAGTATCCCACTCCTCCTCCCTGTGATTCCATAACCCTGTATGTCTCTCTCACAGTGTGACCCTCTTTGTTTCCCAGAATCAGCATGGGGACTACATAGCTATAAGTCCTCTTTTCTTACTGTGTATTAACCAGTCTTTCTATATGAGTAGTTCTCCATATTCCTCTTCCCAAGGTTGTCCTCCTTTTCCCACCAATAAAGCCACATGTATTCCTTTCCCTCAGAGCTTACCTATTTTCTATTTTAGCCATTAGAGTGGCTGGAAGATTTGTATTGTAGCTACAATCTCTAACAAGCTCACGGGTTAAAAACAGAGGGAAATTGAGCTTCCTGCTCTTATGTCAGGGAGCATTAACAGAATCTTTATAAGGCCATGTGTTGCATAACAAATTGTAAGTAGTACCATAAACAAGGATGAGATGCTTACAATTAATTTTCCAAAAAAGGAATAATAGGCTGGGCGCAGTGGCTCATGCCTATAATCCCAGCACTTTTGGAGGCTGAGGTGGATCACTTGAGGTCAGGAGTTCAAGACCAGCCTGGCTAATGTGGCAAAACCCCGTCTCTACCAAAAATACAAAAATTAGCTGGGTGTTATGGTAGGCACCTGTAATCCCAGCTACTTGGGAGGCTGAGGCAGGAGAATTGCTTGAACCTGGGAGGCAGAGGTTGCAGTGAGCCATCATACCATAGCACTCCAGCATGGGTGACAACAGTGAAACTCCATATTGAAAAAAAAAAGTAATAATAAATCTAATCCATAGAAAAGATATTCCAGTTCAGACCCAGAATGGTATAAACAGGAAAAAAAATCAGAGCCTGAATACTGTAAAAGAGAAAAGAATATAGCTTTTCTTTAATTATACTTCTTATTGCTTTTCACCAGTTTGTTGTTGAAGAGGAACTGGACATTATTTCTACAACCATCAGTTACTAATTTATTGTTTGTAAGCTTGTAACTAATTTTATCACAATCTCCACACAAAGTTCTTCCAATACTGAGGATTCAGTATTTTTCCATTAAGTATTTGTTAGTTCCTTCATAAAATTAAAGTAAAAAATATTATCTTCAAGGGCTATTAAAGACTTGTATCTAAGCAGGTAGTAACTACACCACTGATAATTGCAGTCATGAATCTGGATTTTAGAGTAGACAGACTTAGTAAGTGTTCTTCCCAACTAATCATTACCTTTCTGTCTGGGTAGACTTCATATTACATGTGGAACTTCAGGTCTTAGTTACAACTGAGTAACTAAGTTTCTTTCTATGTGTTCATCAAAGACAAAACCAAATTTGTTTTCTGGTGGGAAAAGCTCTTGGTAAAATCATGAGCTTATTATATATGCTTAGATTTCTTGGTCTACTAATTTGTTAAAAGTCCTCTATTATATGAAACATGTAGCGAGGGAAAATTGATGTGACATGGATTATACTTGAATCTGAAAGATATTATGCCAATCACAAAATACTACATATTAACCTAATTTGATTTATATAAATTGTTGTCCACAATAAGCAACTCTATAGTCAGAAAGCAAGTCTGTGGTTGCCTAGGGTTGGAAGAGTGGGGAAATGGGGAGTGAATGCTAATGGATGAGGCTTCTTTGGGGGATGATGAAATGTTCTAAAATTAGATTCTGTGATCATTGCTGAGCTCTGTAAATACAATAAATTCTATTGAAGTATATACTTTGGTGAATTTTATAGTCTAAATTACAGCTTTTTAAAATAAAAACAGATGGCAAGGAAATGAAGGAAGCATTTAGGTACATTGAGACTGGGACTACTGGAGACTGATGTGGTGGATAAATGCCTTCCAGGAGCATTAGCACCATGGGAGAGTGCATGAGTCTGCCTGGACCTCAGAAGGCAACTGACAAAATGCTATGGTCAATCATGAGAGCAAAACCCATAGGAAAATAGCCTGCTTCCAATAGGTACCAATGGTCATTTGGAAGGATAGATAGTGCTCACTGTCTCTAGTGCCAGCAGGAGATGCTTTTATGCACCCTCCACACCTGTTACCACTGACGATTCCTGCCCAACCCTCTCCTTGAGCTTCCACATGCTTAAATGCCCTCAGTCATTTTACTGAAGTCATTTGGCTGAAAGATGTGTTTCTTAACAAACCACACATTCTAGGTGAGCAAACACGAGGGGCTAATATATTCTATATGAGTAAGAAGATGAACTTTCGGTATGCATGAAGCAGAAAAGTCATCTTCAAGGCAAGATCATGAGGGCAGTATACCTGTGGGACTGAGTAGCCAACAATACATCTAATTGCTGTAACAGAAAATTCCAGAATGACCAGATGGTTAAACTGATGTGTCTTGGTGTAGAAGGAGCAAGAAGTATAAATCTAGAGTTTCTAGCAAAAAGAGAGAAAGTGACTAGGGAAGTAGTGTGGGCTTCAGTGGTTCCTAAACACTTTGACCCAATATACTGGCATCAGCTGGGGAGCTTCCCAGAATTCATCACAAGATATAGTCAGTTCTGCTATAATGTGACATACACATTCCTAAATTCACCATGCTGTGCTAACTTATGCATCAGAAACTATGAGGCTTATGGGGAAACAAGGTGAAGGGCAGATAACTAAGGTAACACAAAAAAAATAAAATAAGACCTTAATAAAAGCCAGTAGTGCAGCTTTTTACTTGTTATATGGTCAAGAAACACATAAATACTATAATAAATATAGCAATTGACCTTGAAGAAGACCTGAACTTTGTTTTCATCCAAAGGGTTGCAGCTTGTGAATTACAGTGAAGTGGTAGAAGGAGGGTTATCTGGCATTGCACAAAATGTTACAAGACCAAGCAGGAATGAGTGCAGCTCATAACACATTCAGTGAATGGAGGTAGCTGGTACCTGACTGAGGGCTGTGTGTGTGTGTGTGTGTGTGTGTGTGTGTGTGTGTGTGCGTTGTCGTCTACCTACAAGGCTTAGTTGGCTAGGTATAGATTCCTACATTTTCCTTGTACTTCCCATGTACAAAAATAGTCCATGCAAACATGAAATTTACATTATGCTCCAATTATGTTCCAATTTCATTGGAACAAATTCACATTTTTAAAACAGACGTCAAAGCAGAATTATATCTATTCTGATCAGGAGGTCAAAGAGACTGTATTTTTAAAGTCCCTTAGACACCAATATCCAAGCAGCTCCCTCTAGTGAACCAGGTTGCTCAGTTCTTACCTGTAATAGGCATCAGAGCAGGCCTGAGACTATACACTGAAAGGGACTAATTTGCTTTTAGAACTTTAGACATGAATCACAAAGATCAGCTCTCACACCCTAACCTACAACAGTGGAGAGCTGATAAATTCATTGTTTAGGTTCCTCATCTAAAATCAGGGAAATTAAGACTTTGAGAAGTTGAAGTTTGGTAAAGAATTTAATATGGGGTGCCAGGAATAAAGTCAAATCACCAAAAGATGGAGTTTGCACCTCACTCTTTACCTTAAATTCAGACAATCCCAAAGCATGCAGAGAGAAGGGCCTCTCAGGATTTAACACAATTCGACTGTGTTTTAGAATTATTTATGCATGTGTCTTATTCCTTCACTAAACATGTGATAAACAGAAACTTTATCTTATTTGTCTTTGTGTTCTTAATAGTACCTAGCACAAGGTTTTGTTCAGATACTCAAACAGTATGCTGAATAGAATAGCAGATGATACAACAAAGCAAAATAGATTAACTGAATAAATGTGCTAATCTATTGGCTCAGGTAGGAAATTCCACTGCAAATGGCTGAGCAGCAACACATAGCAACAGAAAAAAATGAAAATTGGACTACCATTTATTTGTGTATTAAGAGTCTCCAGAGTTAACTGAAACCACTGAAGCTGCTGGAGCTTCCCATCTGAAAATGGGACAACTCCTGCTGGCCTCATCACAGGTGTCAAGTTAGCCTTGCCATGTCCCATATGCATGTGCCACTCTATGTTCTTTTCCTGCTCTTGTCTGTGGGTAGGGAGTAAACTGCTCCCTGTAAATCTATTCACACTCTTTCACACATTCCTCGAATATGTATGGCTGTCCTGGAAAGCCATTCCCTGAAAGGGTTAAGATGCCTCCTTTAAACAGTCATAGAGCAGCAGATGGCACATTTGCTAACCAAAATGATGTTGCTCTCACTTGGGTCTAAATTTCCTCCCTCCACCTGGCATCCCAGACAGCTGTGTGAGCTCCATCTGCCCACCTTGAATTCATCAGGTGAATGCTCCATTTCCTTAATTGAGGTTAAGCTAACCCAAGTAATCAAAGACAAGTATGGAATGTTCCCTGTCATCACCATGCCACTGATATATATAACACCCATTCCTGCAGTAGTAAGCCCCACTTTAATACACAGAAAGCATAGCACAGTGAATGAAAAGACAGATCATGATAGCAGACAGGACACTTTTCAAGGGTTCATGGCTGACCGCAGGTGTCATTCTTCCTCCTTAAAGTAAGTGCCTTAGGAAAGCTTCCATTCACCCACAAGAACACTGACAGGTAACAGATACCTCCCAAATCCATGCCACCACCACCTATGCATATTTTATATGAGGGTCTCTCAGGGAACAGCTGGTGCTGGGCCTGCAGATCCTCCCACTAGCCCTATATTCATTTGTCAAGGGCTCTAATTGCCAAGCATTGATCTGGGCATAGAGAATACAATGGAGTACAAGATAGGCGAAATTCCCTGTCTCATTATGCTTACATTTCAGTGGGAGACAATTAATAGGTACACAGATAGACATATTTGACACTTCGTTATAAGAATTTTGAAGACTACAGATTAATAGTTACTGAGGACAGAATGGAGGATAGCAAGTTGTGGAGGGAAACAAAATCCTGTAGGTAGCGGGGTAATGACTAGGTAAGAAAGGATACTACCATAGTCTGAGGAATGTGGCTCCCTAAGTAAATGCCACTTGGAATGAGACTTTGCTTCTTTGGTCACTGAACTCTTCCTTTATAATTACTGAAGCCATAGATGGAAGGCCATACATACATAGTTGGTGATAATAAATAAAAAGTAGTCCATAGATTAGTCCAAAATGAAAAAAACATATATAGCAACATTCTCCAACCAAATTGGGGGCAGGGGAGAACAAGAAAGAAAAAAAAGTAACAACAGAAGACTACTGTTATGCCTACATCAAAAAGTCCGAAAGAGCACAGACAATGTAAAGTCACGTCTCAAGGAACTAGAGAAACAAGAATAGACTAACCCAAACCCAGCAGAAGAAAAGAAGTAACAAAAAGCAGAGCAGAACTAGATGAAACTGAGAGAAAGAAAAAAATACAAGAAATAAATGAAACAAAAAGCTGGTTCTTTGAAAAGAAACTAAATCGATAGACCATTAGTGAGATTAACCAAGAAAAGAGAGAGGCTTCAAATGAACTCAATTAGAAGTGAAACTGGAGATATTACAACCAATACCACAGAAACACAAAAGATTATTCAAGGCTACTATAAACACCTTTATGCACACAAGCTAAAAATCAAGAGGAAATGGATAAATTCCTAGAAATATCAAACCTTCCTAGATTAAATCAGGAAGAAATAGAAATCCTTAACAGACCAATAACAAGCACTGAGATTGAATCAGTAATTTAAAAAAAAAAAATAGCCAACAAAAAAAAAGTCCAGGACCAGGTGGAGTCACGGCTGAATTCTACCAGATATTCAAAGAAGAATTAGTACCAATCCTACTGAAACTATCCCAAAAGATAAAGAAAGAATCCTCCCTATATCATTCTATGAAGCCAGTATCACCCTAATACCAAAACCAGGAAATGACATAACAAAAAAAGAAAATTACAGACCAATATCCCTGATGAACATAGGTGCAAAAATCCTCAACAAAATACTAGCTAACTAAATCCAATAGCATACCAAAAAGATCATGTACACCATGATCAAGTAGGTTTCATCCCAGGGGTACAGGGATGGTTTAACATACAGAAGTCAATAAATGTGATACACTACATAAACAGAATTAAAAACAGAAAACCACATGAACATCTCAATGGATGCAGAAAAAGCATTTGATAACATCCAGCATCCCTTTATGATAAAAACTCTCAACAAAATAGGCATAGAAGGGACTTACCTCAAAGTAATAAAAGCCATCTGTGACAAACCCACAGCTGACATCATACTGAATGGCAAAAAGTTGAAAGCATTCGCCCCTGAGAACTGGAACAAGACAAAGATGCCTACTTTCATCACTTCAGCGTAGTACTGGACGTCCTATCCCTAGCAATCAGATGAGAAAGAAATAAAGAACATCCAGATTGGAAAAGAGGAAGTCAAACTGTTTGCCAATGATATCATATACCTAGAAAACCCTAAACACCCCTCCAAAAAGCTCCTAGATCTGATAAATTCAGTAAAATCTCAGGATACAAAATCAAAGTACACAAATCAGAAGCACTGCTATACACCAACAGCAACCACACTGAGAATCAAATCAAGAGCTCAATCCTTTTTGTAACAATTGCAAAAAAAAAAAAAAAAAATAGGAATATACTTAACCAAGGAGGTGAAAGATCCTTATGAGGAAAACTGTAACACGCTGCTGACAGAAATCATAAATGACACAAACAAATGGAAACACTGCCCATGCTCATGGATGGGTAGAATCAATATTGTGAAAATGAGCATACTGCCCAAAGTAACCTACAGATTCAATGCAATTCCCATCAAAATACCATCATCATTCACAGAACTAGAAAAAAAAAATCCTAAATTCACATAGAGCCAAAAAGAGCCCACATAGCCAAAGCAATACTAAGTAAAAAGAACAAACAGAGGAATCACATTACCTGGCTTTAAGTTATACTACAAGGTTAGCATTATTAAAACAGCATGATACTTGTATAAAAACAGGCATGTAAGCCAATGGAACAGAATAGAGAACGCAGGAATAAAGCCAAATACTTACAGCCAACTGATCTTCAACAAAACATTAAAAAAAATAACAAATTGTGGAAAGGACACCCTATTCAATAAACGGTGCTGAGAAGACTGGCAAGCCATATGTAGAAGAATGAAACTGGATCTCCATCTCTTGCCTTATATAAAGGTCAACTCAAGATGGATTAAAGACTTAAATCTAAGACCTGAAACTATAAAAATTCTAGAAGATAGCTTTGGAAAAACTCTTCTGGACGTTAGCTTAAGGAAAGAATTCATAACTAAGACACTAAAAGCAAATATAACAAACATAAATAAATGGGACTTAACTAAAAAGCTTACGGACAGCAAAAGAATTAATCAGCGGAGTAAACAGACAACCCACAGAGTGGGAGAAAATATTTGCGAACTATGCATCCAACAAAGGATTCATATCCAGAAAGGAATTTGCTTGAGTTCTACAAGAACTCAAATCAGCTAGAAAAAAGGCAAGAAAAGGCCAGGCGCAGTAGCTCAAGCCTGTAATCCCAGTACTTTGGGAGGCCGAGGTGGGCGGATCACAACGTCAGGAGATAGAGACCATCCTGGCTAACACGGTGAAACCCCATCTCTACTAAAAATACAAAAACAATAAAAATAAAAATTAGCCAGGCGTGGTGGTGGGCGCCTATAATCCCAGCTACTCGGAAGGCTGAGGCAGGAGGATGGTGTGAACCCAGGGTACAGAGCTTGCAGTGAGCCGTGACCGTGCCACTGCACTCCAGCCTGGGCGACAGAGCTAGACTCCGTCTCGGGAAAAAAAAAAAAAAAGCAAGAAAAAAAAATTCCATGAAGAAGTGGGCAAAGGACAGGAATAGACATTTCTCAAAAAAAAAAAAAAAAAAATACAGATAGCCAACAAACATGAAAAAATGTTCAACGTCACCAATCAGGGAAATGCAAATTAAAACCACAATGAGATACCACCTCACTCCTACAAAAATGGCCATAAGTAAGAAGTCAAAAAACAATAGATGTTGGTATGGATTCGGTGAAAGGAGAACACTTAACACTGCTGGTGGGAATGTAAATTAGTACAATCACTATGGAAAAGAGTATGGAGGTTCCTTAAAGAACTAGAAGTAGAACTACAATTCAATCCGACAGTCCCACTACTGGGTATCTATCCCGAGGAAAAGAAGACATTATATGAAAAAATCACATGCACATGCATGTTTATAGCAGCAAAATTTGTAATTGTAAAGATACAGAACCAACCGAAGGGCCCATTAGCCAACAAGTGGATAAAGAAAATGGGGTATATAGAGAGCATGTGATTTTACTCAGCCATAAAAAGGAATAAAATAATGTCTTTTGCAGCCAGTTAGATGGAGCTGGAGATCATTATTCTAAGTAACTCAGGAATGGAAAATTAAATATCATATGTTCTCACTTATAAGTGGGAGCTAACCTATAGGGATGCAGTCATAAGAAAGATAATGGACTTGAGGGGCAAGGTTGCTAGGGGAGTAAGAGATAAAGGACTACATACTGGGTACAGTGTATACTGCGCTCAGGTGACAGGTACACTAAAATCTCAGAAGCCACCATTAAAGAACTTAAGCATGTAACTAAAAACCACCTGTACCCTAAAAACTATTGAAGTATGTTTTAAAAATTAAGACTTTTTTTTAAAAAAAACCTATTGTCCTATAAATGTAAACATTCTCTTGTAAATAACTTCTGGATTAAAAAGGAAATAAACTGTGAACTGAAATTCACTCTACAAATATTTACTGAACCCCCATTAAGTGCTAGTGTCCCTTCTAGATGCTGGGAATTCTCCATGAACAATGGTCAAAAAATGTCTGCCTTCATGGGACTTAATTTTAATGAAGTTTCACTTTGCTTAAAATGAACAGTAAAATCACTGCTTTTCACAACCAATGGGATGTGGCCAATACAATACTCAAAGGTAAATTTATAGACTTAAATTCATACGCTAGAAAAAATTTTAATGTTTATCAAAATGTTAAAAGTGCATATTTCTGACAACAATTCTATTAGGAATCTGACAGAAATACTTGACACCTGTGCAATTATATATGTACAAATATGCACATGGCAGCATTGTTTATATTAGCAAAAAATTTAAAAATTTAAAGTAGAATGTTTAATTATGGCTAATCTTTAGGAATCATCAGTTTCCATCCCAGATAATGTGATAGTCATGAGGTCTTTGTGTAAAAGAAGAGGAAATGTCATCTATAATGGAGATCAACAGTGAAGAAGGGAGGGGTTCTTCTCTGGTGCCTTTTAGTCTTTTACAACATTTCACAAAACAGTATAGGTAAGGAAGAGGCTAATCTATAATCAGAGAAACAAAGGTTACAGCTGCCTGTCATGTGACTGGGATCCCATAATCACCTTTAAGTCCCAAAATAATTTAAAGTTGCAACAGGTTTGATTTTGAATTACTTATTCTTACAGCTCCTACCGGCCAAAGATGGGACAATTTAAGTGACAATACGAGTAGTAATTCTGATGGATTGAAACACATCAGTTATGTTTAAATCTATGAATTCATGCTACTACTAAATACCTCATTAATTGTATTTAGTGAATGTTCAGGAACCAGTCCAAAATATTGATAACAGGTAATAAAAGCAGAGTGGGGAAAATTAAGCAGGTACCCCATTTTGTTATACAAAATGTACCTCAAGGTAACCATAATTGATGAGGAAAATTTTCTCATTATAGAATCATTCTAATTAAAAAGCAAAAGATGACCAAATTAGATTTTACATTACTTAATAAACTAGTGATCATCAATGGTTGCTAATATTACAAAAGGAGATAAAACTAAACATTATGTTCCTCCTGATAGAAGGTACCATTTATGAAGCAGTCTTGCCAAAAGAAATCAAACTTGAATCTGATTAGCCCACTAGGTTGAACTACCAATTTACAGGAAGTACAGAGGACAAAGGAACCTGTTACACTACACAACATAGACACAATAGACACGTTGTTGGAAAACTCTACAAAACAAAGGACTTAGCTTCTTCAACAAAATATCAATAAAAAGAAAAAAGAGAAAAAAAAACAGATTTTTAAAAAAGACTTAAAAGACCTTATTTGGATCCTGATTCAAAAAAACCTCAAAGAGTAAGTATTGACTAGTTATTCAATGCTATTAAGAAATTGTGGGGTTTTTTGGAATTGTGTAATGCTGACATTGTGGTTACATTTAAGAAGAGTCCTTATCTTTTAGAGATACATCCTAAAATATTTGCATGTAAAAATAATGATATCTGGAATTTGCTTCAAAAATCAGGGGAAGGGGCATAGAGTAATGGGAAAGTTATAATACGCTCAAAAGTTGATAACTGTTGAATCCCAGAGATATATACACACAGGGGTTTATTATACTGTTCTACTTTTGTGTATGTTTAAAATTCTTCATAATTAAGAGTTAAAAGCTGGTCAGACTGCATGAAAGTGACACCGAGCCCCAAAGAATTAGATAAACATCCTCCGGTTTCCATTGTCTATTATTCTACTAGGGAAAAAACATAATCTTATGTTTTTAACTTGTCTCGTTCTTTTCTTAAGTCGCTGAATTTGGGAAAGTTTTGTTTTCTTTATTTCAGTGAACCAATCTGTTTTCTCATGAAGGAAAATCAATAGCAACTTGACAGGATCTTTCCAGTCCTTTTCCCAACTCATCCACGGCTTCGGCAGCAGGATGCCCATAAAGTATCCTATTTGGGGTTTTCCCTCCTGAACTGGTTCTCTTACTTCAAGACACACACTCATCATTGGCTTATGCATGGCCCACATTCCTTAGTTATTTTTATAACTCAGCACCTGCAAACTCATAAACCAAAACAATAGCCAAGACCTTGCAAATAATCTACAAATAGTCACGCATCTCTCCTTATATCAAATTCCTGCCTCCTCCTCTACCTGCTCAAAGTAACCATCTTCCTAAATTCCATATCCATTATTTCCTTGCTTTCCTTTTTAGACTGTTCACTTGCATTCATTTTGCTTGTTTTCAACTTAATACAAAAGATATGCCATAATATGTTGGGCCTTATTTTTTTCACATAGCAGCACATCACCAAGATTCATCCATATTTTTGGGTCACCGTGTAGTTCATTTGTTCTGCCTACTGAATATGTCATTGTATGATTTTTTTCCACTTATTCATCCAGTCTCTGAATGGGCATTTGCATTGTTTCTAGAGTTGTACTGATCAGAACTGTTATAAACCATCTTGTATATGTCTCCAGTTGTGCAAGCATGAGTTTCTCTTGTATGTGTTGCAGGATGAAACCTCTGGGTGACAGGAGATACAAGACAGTGATGCCTCCCATTCACTTTCCATCTGTAAAACCTTTCCTGCAGAAACACAAGCCTTATGTCTATCCCACAAAGGTGACCGTCCTATGCTTTGTCTATCATGGTTTGTTGCTGCTCTTTCTACCAGCGCTAATTTTTCCAGCCCTGGGGTAATCTAAGACATTTGTTTTCACATTTAGTGCTTCCGAATAATTGAAGAAAAAGTACTAGTGGAATCACTCTGAGCTTGGAGAGCTCCAGACATCTTTAATTGGCACAACTTTTGCAGGCAAAGTGATAGAAATTAAACTGACTGCTAACTATCTGCATTTCTTTTCTATGCTGCAATCAAGAAAAAAGATGCGACCTTCTTCTCAATCCACACAGAAATGAAATCTATTCCAATTTTCATTT
Organism: Homo sapiens; assembly: GCF_000001405.40. NCBI lineage: Eukaryota > Metazoa > Chordata > Mammalia > Primates > Hominidae > Homo > Homo sapiens. The sequence goes on from NC_000018.10 coordinate 53,959,230, forward strand.
TAAGCACAATATTGACAAATTTATTCTGATATATTTAATGTTGTACTTATGGTTTCCCCCTGCTTTTCTAAGGGGACAGATTTTAAAATGAGTAACTCTTGGGACACTACCAACATTTGTCAATCTCTTCAAATGAACCCTTCTCATATATTATAATACAAGCAAAACCACTACTTGAGGAAATAAATTGCTCCCTGACTTGAAAGAGAAATTAAGGAATGTAGAGTTTTCCGCCATCTACAGAATGTCTATACCATTTGCTCACCTCAAGTTAACTCTCACCTCTAGGATCAGGCACCAGCAGGGTGATGTGGAGAAATTTTTTTCTTCGTACTTTAATCAGAGAAAGAGAACATAAGTACTTGAAGATTCATAATATTAACAGTCTCATTAGAGTTTCTTAAATGCTGTTTTAAATTAGGATAATTTTAAATTATGTGATGTAACAACTATATAAACATAAAATGCTTTAATTAGAGACTTGTTTGTGTGAGAAAGAAAAAAAAATCCACTTGAAGCATCAATCTGGCACTCTGCATTAACTTCCAACAGCCACAAATTCCCACTGGACCACTGAACCTAAGCAATAAGGCTATATCCATCATCCTGTCTCTAAAATTTAATCTTCACTTGTTTGTAGCCAGGTCTCTGCTCTTTAAAGAAAAAAATCAAGGCAAATAACTTGAGTTGAATTCTCATTCAAATTCATAGCAACTTCTAGTGTTTCTGAATTTGCTTAATGTATCACACTAATCACAGTCCTTCTGGGCCTCCATAAATATCATGCTATGTTACTGACAAAATAAAGGTTTTGGAGTAGCTCAATCTTGAAGGATGATAAAACAAACAAACAAAAAAACTCAAATTCTCCCTCAAGTACTTATTAACATTTAAAATCACTTTCTCATTTTAGAATCTGATGAAAGCTATGCACTCCTCCCTTCAAAATATATAATTACAAAAAAGGTTACATACACATTCAGAAGACTTGTATACCTACTGATGACCACAACAACCTGCCCTCCTTGAATCCCCACACTCAACATTATGTCTTTTTATTATTATATGGAATCTGACCTTATGGGTCAGATTCTAACTCTTAAGGTATAAATACTCATTAATTGGTAAGTATGTATGAAGTGTCTACTATGTGCCAAAGATTGCGCTAGACCCTGGGAGTACAATAGAGAACGGTTAGACCTGGTCTCTGTCCTCATGGGCCTCATTATCTCGTGGAAGAAACAGATATTAAATTAATCATACCAACAAATGGAGAATATGAATCGTTTAAGAAGTACAAAAAGGAGGACAGAGTGCTAAGAGAGCCAACAAATGCGCATCTGGCCTGATCAGGAAGGTTTTTGAAGACTTCTCTGAGGTTGTGACAACAGAGCTGAGGTGAGTTAGCAGGTAGAGAGATGGAAAGAACACTTGAGGGAATAAGGACATCAAGTTCAAAGTCTTTGAGGGAGAGGGAACATGGTATATACGAAAGAGTGCCCAAGCACAGACAGTGAGAATGAGGAAGCAAGCTGAGGCTGGAGGGATAGGCAAGGAAAACTCAGGCAGGTCTTACAGCTATGTTGTAAAATATTTTTTTCTTTTACTTTGGAGCAATGGGAAGTCAGCAAACAATTTTAATCTGGGAGGTGTGCAACATAATCAGATTTGAATTCTGACAAGTTCATCATGCATGCAACATGAAAAATAGATTTGCAGAGGACCATAATGGATGACGGAGACCAGCTTAGAGGTCATTGCCATAGTTTAGTAAGATAAATAACTAGAAGAGGGTGGTGGTGACAAAAGAGATGAACATTGTTGGATTCAAGTAATATTCAGTTGGGATAATCAACAGGATGCTGTAAAAGATTGGGTTTTTCACCATCTGCCGATACATAGAACAATGCCTGCCACACAGTCGGTGCTCAACAAACATTTGTTGAGTGAATAATGAACCATGTGACAAATAATGGCTAAACATAAATTGTCAAAGAATTTTATATAAGTAAAATTGCTGAAAGAATGTGACGTACAAAAGCTGCAGAGGTAGAAACAGGTTAATAAAAACAGTAATGTGTGAGAGGAGAATTTGAGTTGGTTTGACCCTGAACTGGGGGAAAGGGTGCTTAAGGGTCTGGTTTGACTTCCACAATTTCTATAAAGTGAAAACAAGGTAGTGAATTACAAGGAACAGAAAGCCTGATAGAACAAGGAGAGCACTTTTCACTTTTGTTTAAAGTTAACATTCTGTGATTGTGTAATTTCCATGGAACATGACAAAACAATGATTTTGGAGGAAGATGTGGTGGAATACAAACATAACTTTCATAACCAGGCTTGTGCACCTCTCAGCAGTCCCATAATCATACAGCTTAGAAAGTGCCTTTGTTTTAAAGTCCATAAAAGCAGGTTGCTGTGTGGAAATTTTAGAAAACTAACCACTGGTGTGGGAACAGGACTCTGCAGTTTCTTGTCTCTGTCACAGCCATGACCACTGGAGTCCAACCTCAGATTTTTAATAAATCTCTGTGGAAATTGGCCCCTTGTACACTCAAATAATTCACCTTGATATCACTGCATGCACAACAGCATATGTATGATGGAAACAGGACAAGCTGTATGTTTTCCAACCTAATCATGTACTAAAATGTTCGTAAGATTCTGTTCCATTAATAAGAATGCAAATTAATGCATACATAAGGGAGATTCAGTCTTACTTCTAGATTCTTTATGCATTGAAAAAATCTTGATCTTTATTACCTTTGATTTGCTCTTAAATGGAAAGTTAATTCAATGACCACACTTGCTGTATATTTTGAAACCATATTTTTAAGAAAGTGTATGCATTACATGGAGGCTTCATTCTCCCAATAGTGCTTTCCATCCAAAGCTGCCATTAATAGGATTATCAGTTTAAAGACAGGCTCATCAATAAGGCTAAGGGTACTCAAAAGTCTCTGAATTTTTCAGAAGTGAAAACAAAAATAGTGGAATCAAGGACACAGCATTCAATGAATCTTTTAACTTGTTGCAGGAAGTCAGGGACCCCGGAGGGACCGGCTGAAGCCATGGCAGAAAAACATAAATTGTGAAGATTTCATGGACATTTATTAGTTCCCCAAATTAATACTTTTATAATTTCTTACACCTGTCTTTACCGCAATCTCTGAACATAAATTGTGAAGATTTCATGGACACGTATCACTTCCCCAATCAATACCCTTGTGATTTCCTATGCCTGTCTTTACTTTAATCTCTTAATCCCATCATCTTCGTAAACTGAGGAGGATGTATGTCACCTCAGGACCCTGTGATGATTGTGTTAACTGCTCAAATTATTTGTAGAGCATGTGTGTTTGACAATATGAAATCTGGGCACCTTGAAAAAAGAAAAGGATAACAGCAATGTTCAGGGAACAAGAGAGATAACCTTAAACTTTGACTGCTGGTGAGCCGGGTGGAAAAGAGCCATATTTCTCTTCTTTCAAAAGGAAATGGGAGAAATATCACTGAATTCTTTTTCTCAGCAAGGAACATCCTTGAGAAAGAGAATGCGGCCTTGAGGGTAGACCTCTGAAATGGCCGCTTTGGGGGCAGCCGTCTTTTATGGTTGTAGCTGTAGGGATGAAATAAGCCCCAGCCTCCTGTAGTGCTCCTGTGCTTATTAGGAAGAGGAAATTCCCACCTAATAAATTTTGGTCAGACTGGTTGTCCGCTCTCAATCCCTGTCTCCTGATAAGAAGTTATCAATGACAATGCATGCCCAAAGCTTCATTAGCAATTTTAATTTCGCCCCAGCCCTGTGGTCCTGTGATCTTGCCCTGCCTTCATTTACCTTGTGATATCTTATTACCTTGTGAAACATGTCATCCCTGTGACCCACATCCTATTTGTACACTCCCTCCCCTTTTGAAAATCACTAATAAAAACTTGCTGGTTTTGCAGCTTAGGGGGCATCACGGAACCTGCCAACATGTGATGTCTCCCCTGGACACCTAGCTTTAAAATTTCTCCTTTTGTACTCTGTCCCTTTATTTCTCAGACCGGCCAATACTTAGGGAAAATAGAAAAGAACCTACATGAAATATCGGGGGTGAATTTCGCCCAATATCAACTGAGAGGTGATCTCTCTTATAGTAGCATTTCCCCCATCATCATCTAGGCTGGAGTTCCCTAACATTTATGTTAATAGGAGCTATTTTTAATTTTCCCTATGGTCTTAAGATTTGAAAGGTAGAGGACTTCTTGATTTATGTCTGGAGAAAAAAACACAGAAAATGAAATCTGAGTAAAGATAAATTTAAGGCTTTAGTATTTGAACACATCAGGGCAAGGAAAGATACCATCAATTTTTCTGTCATCCTCTCTGGTCACTGATGGATTGACTAGTGCAATTGGCTTGAAATTATGCCAAATAAAATTTTAATGCCCACTGACCTGCTATTTGGAGATTCCATAAGCTAAGTTTCTTTGTTAACTGTTTGTGTAGTAGCTTGACCCTTAGGCAGGTTGGGAACACCCAGCCCAGAAAACCTGTGTAATGAGAATTAGGAGCAATGGAGATAGAGTGTAAACTCTTAGCAACCAGATAGTACTCATTGCAAGCCACTTCTCCCATCTTCACAAATGATTTTGATCCTCAAAGGTGGTCCAATCCCACCTACTTTACTACATTCCTTACTGTATTCACCACAGAGATGTCTGGCTCCAAATATGTGAATGCTGCCTCAAAGATGGGTTCTAATAAATGGCTCTATTTAGACAAGGTGAAGATTAAGATTACTTTGGCATTCTTATATACTCAACTCTTAATTATCCACATTAATAAAAGAATCAAGGGGATAAGAGTTCAAAATTAAGGATAATACAAAAGTAATTTATATTTGGCTTTAGTATTCATTATGTGATTTTGAGGGTAAGCAAATTAACTTTCTAATTATAATTTGGCTTTTCAGAATGAGTTTCTATTCTTCTCAATTAGCTCGTGTTGAAAGCCAGCTAGTGGTGTGCTAGAAGTCAAATTAAATTTGACCTGGAATTTATAAGTTTCTGCAAATGGCTCACCCATAAATTATCAAAGTCAATTTTTTCTGCTTCACAGAGGAGGTCCAGGCCACACCAATAGCCTATGGAGAGCCAAGGTTTAAGGTAATCTAATTACATAGATTCAGAATCAGATACAGTATCGGATATCACAGACTTCAAGACAAGAGTATTACTTGAGAAAGTCATTTCAACAGGGAAGCATAACAATTCAAAACTTACATCTAATAACATAGCCCCCAAAATATGTAAAGTAAAAAAGGTCTCAGAACTAAAAGAATAAATGGACCATCTCGTTCACAAGGGTTTCTGTTAATTCTCTATCCATGGCAGGTTGGCACTTTCCTCTAGGGTGGGATGCCCTCACCTCACATCTTCTGCTCAATGCTCTCCATCCCCTGGTCTCCTAAGGCACTGTCTCCCTCTCCAGTTGGACTATTTTCTTTTCCTGGATATTTTGGGCCTGAACCTTTAGATATCAGGACTCTAATTAGCAGAAAGCCTTATGAGCAAGATGACAGTTTTCATCAAAGAGAAAGAGTTCTCCAAAAGGTAAATTAAGAAAGAGGGTAAAGTATGTATTTAGTGGCTTCCTCTTAGAAGGAAAAAAAAGAACTGGAAAGATTTGTTAAAATTCAAGTCAGAGTCATCCTTCCACAGATTCCAACACTACCTAAAAATGGAGCCATCTTCACTCACAGTCGAGACATTAAAACACAAGAAAGCATGACACTTGCTGGTCTAATCCTAGAGAAGTAACTGAGGCATGGGTACGTGCTGCATGCATGGAAGGGAAGTCAGGTCAAGGAGAAGCTCTAGACCCAGTAGAGCTCAGAAATGAACATTTCTAGCACTATAGGACTTCCTCCTACCTTGAGTGAAGAGCAGTGATGAGTTCACATCCTGCAGCCAACAGCCACCTCTGAGGAACAGGTGTCTGATCATGGACAGGAGAGTCAGAAAAAGAGACAGACTACCCAAGAAAATCATGAAATTCAAGGATGGCCAGCTTTGTCTGAGGCATCCCCATTCCATTCCCTCAGGGTTCCTGTCATCCCAGCCAAGTGCTGCCAATTACGCTGGTGCTTATGGCCTGCCTCACCCTGTGTTCCTGTATGAACTGAAACACAAAATAAAAATAAGCACCATCCAGACATTAGTTATCAATGCAATAAAGAATCAAGAATATCTAAACAGCAGTAGCTTAGGGACCACAACTAGTTGAAATAGTGCACTAGAGCATTTATTTTAATGCTGATGTTTGCATAGTACCACACTGTGTAACTTAGAATGTAAATGTCTCGGGAATGGTAGGGCAACGGGCACTATTGATGGAAATATCTTAGTATGAGATGGTGTGCTAAACCATAGTTATCTTACAAATGATGTTTTCTCTACCTCCATTTGCATTCATGGAAAAAAAATTGAGTAATTGACATTATCATTTTTACCAGCTACCATCATTCATTGAATTGAGCACAAAAAGTCAAATAGTCTGTCATAGGTTCTCACCTTTTAGAATCTATAGAAGACAATATTCTTAGGGTCTAAACCCTGTTAGCTTGGACAATGAATATGAAAAAAAAAACACTGAGATTTTTCTTTATTTTAATCTTCAATAAGCAAATAATTGCTATCTAAAAGTGTGTCTATTCCTAACCAATTTTGTACAAGGAACTGTTGTGAGGATAGAGTGAGGAGATAATGTGAAACAGCTGAGGACTCTAACACTCAACTCGAAGGATAAAGGATGTTATTATTCAGCTGTGCTATTGGGATTTTATTAGCCCTTCTACTCAACACACACAGGAACACATACATATGTACACACATGGATGCACACAAACAGTGTGTAGAAGAAGAACACAAAGTAGGAAATACACAGAAATGACTGAATGGAATCAAAAATTAGGAGATGACATCAAGAACCCTATAAATGGACATTGTAGAAAAGTTATTGTTCAACTCACTCAAGTTGATCTGAAACACAAAAATCGTTTGACTACATGGAGCAGCCAAACTTGATGCAGGCAAAGATATAGTCTAAGAGACATTTTAAAAAATAATTGGAAGGGTAACAGTTGGCAAAGCAGAAAGAGGCTAAAATGATGGTTCAGGGTTGACTTACAGTGTCTGGGCACCTAAGAGGCCCAGAACCGTGATGAAATCATAACAGGTTCTCAACAAATGTTGTGTATTTGTATTGCAATCAAAATTTTGTCAGATTTGATTTGCTCTCCCCAAGCAGTCAGTGTTCTAGCAGAGCTAGAGTTTTATCGCTCTTAGTAATGCAAAGTTATGTTGTTGCCTAAGATGTAATGTTAAAATACATTTCACTTTATTTATAAAATATATAGGTTTTAGGAAGGCTGTAAGATATATTTGATATATATTTGGGACTCTAAAGATTTTCCTAAGCTTCTATAATCTTTAGTCCAAATATATCTGATCTCAGTCTTCACCCAGTAAATTACATTTGTAGTAATAGTTTAAAAAGAAAAGAAATTGTAGGATACTATTTATAGCTTCAAAGATAATTATACCACTTAACATTTTTATGATGCTTTATAATTTACAAAGGGCTTTCACTAACCTATTATAATTCCTCACCTTTTCTTATGTTTCTGTTTCCTGGTTTTGAAATGCCTACAACACAATACACCAAGACAGGCCTATTATACCCAAACTGCATATAAAAAACTGCAGCTGAATAATTAAATGAGGCAATTATTATCAAAATTTTATGACAAAAATCACTAAAGTCAGAGGTAGATGAATCCTCAGAGTCTGAGAATATAATCCAAAGCAATCTATCAAGATAAAAAATTACTCTTTAAGTATCCTGCTTTATTTTTCCAACTTCTGGATCTGGGTAGGATATAGTAGGTAGAAATAAGCTCACACAACAATTATGGAATAAAATAAATCAAAGTAAGTAATCAACACCACCATAAAAGTCATATTGTTAATGGCATTGAATATCTATTGAAGTAAAGATGACTAAGTTAATTTAATACAACAGAGGATAAAGTCTTAGGTGAGCTGATATGAATGCTTCTTTTCTACCTTGGAGGCATCTGCTGAGTATTGATTTAAAATTGAACTTGCTATAGGAGAAAATGTCTTTTGGGAAAAGAGAAACTAGTGGAGTTTTTGATAACTCCATAGGGGCTAGAATGTGAATTGGAATCTAGACGATCACCAAGGTCATATCCCAGTTTTCTGAATGAGACATTTACTGAGTCCAGGAGTAGGATGAGAGGCTAGATGCTAAGAAGAAAAGGCAACATAAAGTCACCCACAATTTCTGATGCTTAAGAAACAAAGTCTGGCTTTGGGGAGGAACCTACAACAAACATTCAACAAGTTTCATCTTCGAGACATTTGGAACCAAAAGAAAATGAAGTATAAGCTCAAGACAGCCTTAACAGACCTAATTAAACTTATTTACCCATTATTCTCTGGAGAAAAATAAAATCAACTTCAACATTTATTATTTTATACACTAATCCTGTGCATAGTAAATACATATATATTAGACATGTGAAAAGGTAAGAAATGTGACAAATAGTCAAGAGAAAAAACACACTATAAGCAGATCCACAGGTGATACACAGAGTTAAGACTTTAATATGAATGTTAAAACAAGAGATAAAAATGAAGGAAAAGACAATTTCAACAAATAATTGGAATCAATAAAAAATACAAATAACATTCCAGAACTGAGAAATACAATAAATAAAATTAAAAATTTATTAGACACATTAGCAGGTTTGGCAAAGCAGAAAACAAACTCAAAGATAGGTCAATAAAAATATATATAATTGAAACACAGACCAAAAATACACAATAGAACAGAGAATAAGAGACAGGTAAGACATAGTCAAATGGTCAGACATTCATGTAATTGAAGTTCCAGGAAAGAAAAAAGAAAATGAAGCTGAAATAATATTTGTAGAGATGATGGCTAAAAATTTCCCAAAACTGATAAAAATAAATGTCAAATTAACAGATTTCAGATGTATTGGTAACCCCAAGTAGTATAAATAATAAAGGAATCACATCTAGGCACATCCTCATGTAATTGCAGACAATAAGAAAACTAGATGCAACAAGCTCAAATATAAAAACAATTTTGCAATTTTTTTAAACAAAATCAAGGAAACAAGACAATAAAATGATACCTTTAAGGTTCTAGGGGCAAAAAATCTACCACCTTACAATTCTAACTCCAGTGAAAATATTCCTCAAATGTAAATCTATTTTCAGACAGAGCCCACCACCCCCCCAAAAAAAAGTAAAGAAGTCATATTCAGCAGACTAACACTATAATATACCAGCAAATTCCCCAGAGGTAAAATGAACCGAGATAAAAGCATTATTAAGAACACTAGAAAAGAAATATTAGGGTAAATATAAAATATTCCCCTTTAAATCAGCAATATTTAGAGTGTCTTGTGGAGTTTTAACATAGGTAGAAGTAAAATACATGACAATAATATGCAAAGGATAGAAAGGGGTAACCATATTTAAACTGCTCAAGGTTCTTGCCTTTTGGAGAGGAAATGGTAAAAATACAAATAAGGTAGACTCTAATTAATCAAACTTACTTTAATCTCTAAAGCAGTTGTCTGCAAATCACAGCCTGTGAACAAATCTGGCTAGCAACTTAGTTTTATAAAGTTTTATTGGCACACAACCACAGCTATTTGTTTACTTGTTATCTATGTTAGCTTTCACATTACAACTGCAGGGTTGAGTAGTTTCCCAGAGATCACACAGCTCCCAACAACAAAATATTTTCAGAAAAAGTTTGCAGACCCCTATTCTAAAGGAAAAAACAAAGTCCATGACTCAAAAAGTTAACAGAGAAGGTAAAATGCAATTAGAAGCCATGATTAGGACAAGAAAAGGCAGGAAAGAAACAATACATAAACATAGAATTAAAGCAAAAACAACTGGTAAAATGGTAGACATACGCCTAACCAACAATAGTAGGCTAAATACTTCAATGAAAAGAAACCAGTCTGGCGGCACAGGCCTGTAGTCCCAGCTACCCGGGAGGCTGAGGTGGGAGGATCAACTGAGCCCAGGAAGTCCAGGCTGCAGTGAGCTGTGATCACACCACTGCACTCCAGCCTGGGCAACAAAGGCAGACTCTGTTAAAAAAAATTAAAAAAAATAAAAAAATAAAAAAAAAGGCAATGAATTTCAGGCTAGACTGAAAAATATGTAACTGAGCAAAAGACACACATTTTAATTTTAAGAAAGGACTGAGAAAGATTTACCAGGCAGACAAAAAACAACAGATAGCTAGTATAGTGACATTAGTATCAGACACAATAGACTTCAAGGCTAAAATATTACTATGTAGATAAAGAGTAATTTCATCAGGAAAACATAAACATCCTAAATGTATAATAAAATAGCCACAAAATATATAAAGCAAAAATGTATCTAAAGGTCTTAAAGAAACTCTAAACTTCTAAAGAACTTGAAGAAATAGACAAAGGACTGATCATAGTTGGAGAATTTAACACACCTTGCTCAGTAACTGAAAGAACACACAGAGCAAAAAAAAAGCAAGGATACTGAAGATTTAAACAACCTATGTAAACCAAATTGACCGAGTCGACAACTATGAAAGACTGTATCAAACGGCTTAGAGTTCTTACGGAACATTTATCAAAATAATCCATATGCTAATCCATAGAGCAAGTCTTAACAAATTTCAAAGGACTGAAATAATACTAAGGTCTGTTCTCTATCGTGGCCTGCAACTAGGAAAAACATACAGAAAGCTAACTAGAAATAAAACACGCTTCCAAAAAATCCATGCCTCGAATAAGAAATCATAATGGAAGTTTAAAAATATGTTGAATGGAACCTAATAAAGATATGATATGTCAAAGTGGGATGTAATTAAGGATCTGGTCATGGGGAAATTTATAGCTTTAAATGCACATAAAAGATTGAAAATCAAAATCTGAGTTTTCATTTTAAAAAGCTAGAAAATAGCAAATTAAACCCAAAGAAGAAAGATGAAACAAAAATAGGAGAAAATACAGAAAACAGATATTATCTTTAACAAATGTGGAAACTCAGGTAGAGAGAAGTAAATTGCCCAGATTGCATTATTAGCAACGGGCAGCACTATGACTTGAATCCCGGTAGTCTGATACCAGAATTTATACTTTTAGTGGTTATCTGAACAGACTCACAGAAAGACCCAACCAGGTTTTGAGCATCATAGCTAAGCAATATTCCACTGTGCACTATTGAAGCCACCACCAATGCTCTCTCCAGCTTAGTATGAGATTCTGCCTCTACTGCTCTGGCCCTGACTATTGATGACTTACCAGGTGCCAACCTGGTCTATAACTGCTCCTGATATGAGCCCACTATACAACTGCCACTTAGACCCATATTTTAAGCAGCCTCACTGTAACTCCTGGCTCTAATCAAAGTTTTAGTTGCAGCCCTGCCCCTAAACGTGTCCTGCCCTGGAAACTCACTCTGGCCACACTCATACCTCAGAAGCTCAGCCAGTGCTATTCTCCATCTCCCATTGCCTGGACCCACTAGAATCACAAAAATGTCAACTAGGGAAATAGACCTATCTGTCTCCCACTTTGGCCACAAAATCTACAGAGTGAAACAACATAGAGAATACTATACAGAGCTTTTGGGTGGGGGGAGTGGGGAGGGATAGCATTGGGAGATATACCTAATGCTAGATGACGAGTTAGTGGGTGCAGCGCACCAGCATGGCACATGTATACATATGTAACTAACCTGCACAATGTGCACATGTACCCTAAAACTTAAAGTATAAAAAAAAAAGAGCTATACAGAGCTTTTCACTGAGCTGCTACAAAGAAATTCCAAATAAATTTGAGCAGAAATTTCCTTACAAGTTGTTCCATGGCATTTTTCCGTAAAATATACATAAAGAAGGCAACTTGTTGCCAATTACCCAAAAAATTAACTAAAGAGTTGGCTTCGGGGTTTTTAGTTTTTGTTTTGCACTGCACAGTTGTTTGGGAGACAGTAGATATTAACTAAAAATATTTTGGTATCAGAGTATGTAGTAAAGAATGACCCTGACCAAAGAAGAGATAGGGCCTTTGTCCTGGACTTCTGGGAGGTAATTTCTGAGCCCTTGGAATGTTATGCCTCATATGAGTGTCTTTGTTTGCCTGGGAACACTGAGTCATCCTAGATGCTCCAACTGTATGACTTAGGGTGAGGGCTGGCTACACCCATGAGGTCTTAGAGCGGGGCCTGGTCACACCAGAAAGACCAACAATGTAACAGGGTGGTTGCTTTCTATATACTGTATCAGGTGACCTGGAGGCTGAAGTCAACTACATGGACAATCAATCATGCCTATGCAATGGAGTCCCAATAAAAAGTCTGAACACTGAGGTTCAGTGAGCTTCCCTAGTTGGCAATACCCCATATGTATTATCCCACATAGATGCTGGGAGGTGATGTACCATCAGTAGAAGGTAACAGGAACTCATTTGGTACTCTCACAGACTCTGCTCTATGTATCTCTTCACTGGGCTGATTTTAATCTGTATCCTTTTTTCTGTGGTAAACCATAACCGTGACTATAACAGCTTTCTGTGAGTTTTTCTAGTGAATTATCAAATTGGAGAATGATTGCTGAGAACCCCTCCAACTTGCATTTGGTGTCTAAAGTAAGGGCAGTCCAGGGGGCGGCATCCTGTAAGCTTTGTAGTTGGCCCAAACTTCTCATACAGGGCACGGTCTGAGTTTGCTAGTGTTCTACCAGCCATTTTTAATAGAAAGTCAGGCAAGGTTAGAGATTGTTTATATCACTGTTTTATTAATATGTATCTGCCCTTCCATCCTTTGTCACAGACATGCTTTACAACATCATTAAAATTATATATTCCATGTCAACTGGGCCCCTGTCATTTATACAAACACAAAAGCAAAGAAAAAAGTTTGAAAACTGAGTCCTTCTACAGCTCCCAAGGTCCCTATTGTCTGATCATGCCATCTTTACCCAACTCCTTTGCCTCCTTGACCTTGATTTTAAGCAGACTCCTTCCTGCCTCACCACATTCTTTGTTCAGGCCTCTGTGACTTAATGCATGCAACTCCCTTCCCCATCAACTCCTTCCATCCCCTCCTTCCTGTTTAATGTCACCATGTTTCAGAGAAAGAAATTAAGTCATTGCTTCTCCATTATGTAGCCATCATTTATGGCAATAACCTCACAAGGTTGATAAGGCTTTCAGTGAAGTAATATTTATAAAGGAGAACATTACTTGACACATAGTAGGTACAATGTTAGCCTTAGCTACTGTTAATATTACTATTACTCCTATTGCTATTGCATGACAGTCATTTTTGACCCCATTTTATAGTGTCTATGACAATTAAGCTTTCAATTGCATCTATAATTGTTATTCTCTATTCTATACCCATTACCTTCTGGATTATTGTGCCGTTAGGGCAAAATCCATGTCTGTTATTTTCCTTTGCTGATAGAGATTTCAGGTACAAAGTGCGTGCTGAATCTTTTTGGCCTACTGATAGATTCTGAGAATATTGGAATGATAGCACATAATCTACCCATGTTAATGAGGGACACAATATTTGAACCCCTACAATATGTCAGTGTGTATCATTTATTCTCCAGGGTCCTGGGTTTTAGAGTTTTATAAAGATTTCAGATTTACAGCCATGACAATTTGTTACTAGAAAATATGAAAGAAACTATAGACACTGGGCTCTCTGCTTCATGTTCAATTTGCTCATAAAAGATATACTAGTATTCATCAATACCAACTTCTCCTATACTTGTAATCACAGGAAAGACAGTACTTCCCAGTATTTGAAAACTGTTTTGTGACCCCTTGCTTTCTTCTGTTTCTCTTGAGGATTGGTGACATTGCAAATAGTGGAGTCTTTCAGTCTAGGTCCTAGAGCAAAGCCCAAGTCAACTTGCATTGGACATGAGAGAGAAACTACTGTGGTATGGAGTGACTAATATTTATGGATTAATTTGTCATGGCACAGTACATAATCTCTTCTGGTTGGTACTCTAAGCAAATAGGAAGAAAAAAGCAGTTCAAAATACTTGTATCATTTTATTAACACTGCCTTCTTGTACCACAATTTTTTTAAAAAACCACTTCAGTTATGATTGACAAAAAGCTGTACATGTTTAATGTATACAACATTAGTTTGCAAATGCAATCATAAAATCATCACCATAATCAATGCCATAAACATATACATCAACTCCAAAAGTTTCATCTTACCCTCCTGACTTTGTGATAAGAGCATTTAACATAAAAATTTGCTAAGAGGGTAGATACTAAGTGTACAAGTATTGTCAACTATAGTCACTATGCAGTATAGAAATTTCTTTTTGGTTTTCTTTTTTCATTTTACAATGGATTTAATTATTTCTAATCAAATAATGGATTTGATTATTTGCAATGGATGTGATTTTTTATATTTTATTATACTTTAAGTTCTAGGGTACATGTGCACAACATGCAGGTTTGTTACATAGGTATACATGTGCCATGTTGGTGTGCTGCACCCAGCAACTCGTCATTTACATTAAGTATATCTCCTAATGCTATCCCTCCCCCCTCCCCCCACCGCACAACAGGCCCCACTGTGTGATGTTCCCCTTCCTGTGTCCAAGTATTCTCATTGTTCAATTCCCACCTATGAGAACATGCGGTGTTTGGTTTTTTGTCCTTGCGATAGTTTGCTGAGAATGATGGTTTCCAACTTCATCCATGTCCCTACAAAGGACATGAACTCATCCTTTTGGATGGCTGCATAGTATTCCATGGTATATATGTGACACATTTTCTTAATCCAGTCTATCATTGTTGGATATTTGGGTTAGTTCCAAGTCTTTGCTATTGTGAGTAGCGCTGCAATAAACATACGTGTGCATGTGTCTTTATGGCAGCATGATTTATAATCCTTTGGGTATATACCTAGTAATAGGATGGCTGGGTCAAATGGTATTTCTAGTTCTAGATCCCTGAGGAATCACCACACTGTCATCCACAATGGTTGAACTAGTTTACAGTCCCACCAACAGTGTAAAACTGTTCCTATATCTCCACATCCTCTCCAGCACCTGTTGTTTCCTGACATTTTAATGATCGCCATTCTAACTGGTGTGAGATGATATCTCATTCTGGTTCTTATTTGCATTTCTCTGATGGCCAGTAATGGTGAGCATTTTTTCATGTGTCTGTTGGCTGCATAAATGTCATCTTTTGAGAAGTGTCTGTTCATATCCTTTGCCCACTTGTTGATGGGGTTGTTTTTTCCTGGTAAATTTGTTTGAGTTCTTTGTAGATTCTGGATATTAGCCCTTTGTCAGATGAGTAGATTGCAAAAATTTTCTCCCATTCTGTAGGTTGCCTGTTCACTCTGATGGTAGTTTCTATTGCTATGCAGAAGCTCTTTAGTTTAATTAGATCCCATTTGTTAATTTTGGCTTTTGTTGCCATTGCTTTTGGTGTTTTAGACATGAAGTCCTTGCCCATGCCTATGTCCTAAATGGTATTGCCTAGGTTTTCTTCTAGGGTTTTTATGGTTTTAGGTCTAACATTTAAGTCTTTAATACATCTTGAATTAATTTTTGTATAAGGTGTAAGGAAGGGATCCAGTTTCAGCTTTCTACATATAGCTAGCCAGTTTTCCCAGCACCATTTGTTAAATAGGAAATCCTTTCACCATTTCTTGTTTTTGTCAGGTTTGTCAAAGATCAGATAGTTGTAGATGTGTGGTATTATTTCTGAGGGCTCTGTTCTGTTCCACTGGCCTACGTCTCTGTTTTGGTACCAGAACCGTGCTGTTTTGGTTACTGTAGCCTTGTAGTATAGTTTGAAGTCAGGTAGCATGATGCCTCCAGCTTTGTTCTTTTGGCTTAGGATTGACTTGGCAATGCGTGCTCTTTTTTGGTTCCATATGAACTTTAAATAGTTTTTCCCAATTCTATGAAGAAAGTCATTGGTAGCTTGATGGGGATGGCATTGAATCTATAAATTACATTGGGCAGTATGGCCATTTTCACGATATTGATTATTCCTATCCATGAGCATGGAATGTTCTTCCATTTGTTTGTATCCTGTTTTATTTCATTGAGCAGTGGTTTGTAGTTCTCCTTGAAGAGGTCCTTCACATCCCTTGTAAGTTGGATTCCTAGGTATTTTATTCTCTTTGAAGCAATTGTGAATGGGAGTTCACTCATGATTTGGCTCTCTGTTTGTCTGTTACTGGTATATAAGAATGCTTGTGATTTTTGCACATTGATTTTGTATCCTGAGACTTTGCTGAAGTTGCTTATCAGCTTAAGGAGATTTTGGACTGAGACGATGGGATTTTCTAGATATACAATCATGTCATCTGCAAACAGGGACAATTTGACTTCCTCTTTTCCTAATTGAATATCCTTTATTTCTTTCTCCTGCCTAATTGCCCTGGCCAGAACTTCCAACACTGTGTTGAATAGGAGTGGTGAGAGAGGGCATCCCTGCCTTGTGCCAGTTTTCAAAGGGAATGTTTCCAGTTTTTGTCCATTCAGTATGATATTGGCTGTGGGTTTGTCATAAATAGCTCTTATTTTGAGATACGTCCCATCAATACCTAATTTATTGAGAGTTTTTAGCATGAAGGGCTGTTGAATTTTGTCAAAGGCCTTTCTGCATCTATTGAGATAATCATGTGGTTTTTGTCTTTGGTTCTGTTTATATGCTGGATTACATTTATTGATTTGCATATGTTGAACCAGGCTTGCATCCCAGGGATGAAGCCCACTTGATCATGGTGGATAAGCTTTTTGATGTGCTGCTAGATTCAGTTTGCCAGTATTTTATTGAGGATTTTTGCATCAATGTTCATCAGGGATATTGGTCTAAAATTCTTTTTTTTGTTGTTGTGTCTCTGCCAGGCTTCAGTATCAGGATGATGCTGGCCTCTTAAAATGAGTTAGGGAGGATTCCCTCTTTTTCTATTGAAAAGGAATTTCAATAGAAATTCCAGAAGGAATGGTACCAGCTCCTCCTTGTACCTTTTGTAGAATTCGGCTGTGAATCCGTCTGGTCCTGGACTTTTGGTTGGTAAGCTATTAATTATCACCTCAATTTCAGAGCCTGTTATTGGTCTATTCAGAGATTCAACGTCTTCCTGGTTTAGTCTTGGGAGGGTGTATGTGCAGAGGAATTTATCCATTTCTTCTAGATTTTCTAGTTTATTTGCATAGAGGTATTTGTAGTATTCTCTGATGGTAGTTTGTATTTCTGTGGGATCGGTGGTGATATCCCCTTTATCATTTTTTATTACATCTATTTGATTCTTCTCTTTCCTTCATTAGTCTTGCTAGCAGTCTAGCTAGCAAGAAAAGATCAACAAAATTGATCCTTTCAAAAAACCAGCTCCTGGATTCATTGATTTTTTGAAGGGTTTTTTGTGTCTACCTCCTTCAGTTCTGCTCTGATCTTAGTTATTTCTTGCCTTCTGCTAGCTTTTGAATGTGTTTGCTCTTGCTTTTCTAGTTCTTTTCATTGTGATGTTAGGGTGTCAATTTTAGATCTTTCCTGCTTTCTGTTGTGGGCATTTAGTGCTATAAATTTCCCTCTACACACTGCTTTAAATGTGTCCCCGAGATTCTGGTATGTTGTGTCTTTGTTCTCGTTGGTTTCAAAGAACATCTTCATTTCTGCCTTCATTTCATTATGTACCCGGTAGTCATTCAGGAGCAGGTTGTTCAGTTTGCATGTAGTTGAATGGTTTTGAGTGAGTTTCTTAATCCTGAGTTCTAGTTCGATTGCACTGTGGTCTAAGAGACAGTTTGTTATAATTTCTGTTCTTTTACATTTGCTGAGGAGTGCTTTATTTCCAACTATGTGGTCAATTTTGGAATAGGTGCATTGTGGTGCTGAGACGAGTGTATATTCTGTTGATTTGGGGTGGAGAGTTCTGTAAATGTCTATTAGGTCCACTTGGTGCAGAGCTGAGTTCAAGTCCTGGATATCCTTGTTAACTTTCTGTCTCATTGATCTGTCTAATGTTGACAGTGGGGTGGTTAAAGTCTCCCATTATTATTGTGTGGGAGTCTATGTCTCTTTATAGGTCTCTAAGGACTTGCTTTCTGAATCTGGGTACTCCTGTATTGGGTGCATATATATTTAGGATAGTTAGCTCTTCTTGTTGAATTGATCCCTTTACCATTATGTAATGGCCTTCTTTGTCTCTTTTGAGCTTTGTTGGTTTAAAGTCTGTTTTATCAGAGACTAGGATTGCAACCCCTGCCTTTTTTTTGTTTTCCATTTCCTTGGTAGATCTTCCTCCATCCCTTTATTTTGAGCCTATGTTTGTCTCTGCATGTGAGATGGGTTTCCTGAATACAGCACACTGATGGGTCTTGACCCTTTATCCAATTTGCCAGTCTGTGTCTTTTAATTGGAGCATTTAGCCCATTTACATTTAAAGTTAATATTGTTATATGTCAATTTGATCCTGTCATTATGATGTTAGCTGGTTATTTTGCCCATTAGTTGATGCAGTTTCTTCCTAGCATCAATGGTCTTTATAATTTGGCATGTTTTTGCAGTGGCTGGTACCAGTTGTTCCTTTCCATCTGTAGTGCTTTCTTCAGGAGCTCTTTTAGGGCAGGCCTGGTGGTGACAAAATCTCTCAGCATTTGCTTGTCTGTAAAGTATTTTATTTCTCCTTCACTTATGAAGATTAGTTTGGCTGGATATGAAATTCTGGGTTGAAAATTCTTTTCTTTAGGAATGTTGAATATTGGTCTTCACTCTCTTCTGGCTTGTAGAGTTTCTGCCATTCTCTCTGGTTGCCCTTAACATTTTTTCTTTCATTTCAACTTTGGTGAATCTGACAATTATGTGTCTTGGAGTTGCTCTTCTCAAGGAGTATCTTTGTGGTGTTCTCTTTATTTCCTGAATTTGAATGTTGGCCTGCCTAGCTAGGTTGGGGAAGTTCTCCTGGATAATATCCTGCAGATTGTTTTCCAACTTGGTTCCATTCTCTCTGTCACTTTCAGGTACACCAGTCAGACTTAGATTTGGTCGTTTCACATAGTCCCATACTTCTTGGAGGCTTTGTTCATTTCTTTTTATTCTTTTTTCTCTGAACTTCGCTTCATTTCATTCATTTGATCTTCAATCACTGATACCCTTTCTTCCAGTTGATCGAATTGGCTACTGAAGCTTGTGCATTCATCACATAGTTCTCATGCCATGGTTTCCAGCTCCATCAGGTCCTTTAAGGACTTCCCTGCATTGGTTATTCTAGTTAACCGTTCGTCTAATCTTTTTTCAAGGTTTTTAGCTTCTTTGCGATGGGTTCGAACTTCTTCCTTTAGCTCGGAGAAGTTTGATCGTCTGAAGCCTTCTCTCAACTCCTCAAAATCATTCTCCATCCAGCTTTGTTCCATTGCTGGTAAGGAGCTGCATTCCTTTGGAGGAGGAGAGGTGCTCTGATTTTTAGAATTCAGTTTTTCTGTTCTGTTTTTTCCCCATCTTTGTGGTTTTATCTACCTTTGGTCTTTGATGATGGTGATGTACAGATGGGGTTTTGGTGTGGATGCCCTGTTTGTTAGTTTTCCTTCTAACAGTCAGGACCCTCAGCTGCAGGTCTGTTGGAGTTTGCTGGAGGCCCACTCCAGACCCTGTTTTCCTGGGTATCAGCAGCGGAGGCTGCAGAACAGCAAATGTTGCTGCCTGATCGTTCCTCTGGAGGTTTCATCTCAGAGGGGTACCCGGCTGTGTGAGGTGTCAGTCTGCCCCTACTGAGGGGTGCCTCCCAGTTAGGCTACTCGGAGGTCAGGAGCCCACTTGAGGAGGCAGTCTGTCCGTCCTTAGATCTCAGACTCCATGCTGGGAGAACAACTACTCTCTTCAAAGCTGTCAGACAGGGACATTTAAGTCTGCAGAGGTTTCTGCTGCCTTTTGTTCGGCTCTGCCCTGCCCCCAGAAGTGGAGTCTACAGAGGCAGGCAGGCAGGCCTCCTTGAACTGCAGTGGGTTCCACCTAGTTTGAGATTCCTGGCCACTTTGTTTACCTACTCAAGCCTCAGCAATGGCAGGCACCCCTCCCCCAGCCTCGCTGCCGCCTTGCAGTTCGATCTCAGACTACTGTGCTAGCAATGAGTGAGGCTTTGTGGGCGTGGGACCATCCAAGCCAGGCATGGGATATAATCTCCTGGTGTGCCGTTTGCTAAGACCATTGGAAAAGCGCAGTATTGGGGTAGGAGTGACCCGATTTTCCAGGTGCCATCTGTCACAGCTTTGCTTGGCTATGAAAGGGAATTCCCTGACCTCTTGCGCTTCCCGGGTGAGGCGATGCCTCTCCCAGCTTCGGCTCACACTCAGTATGCTGCACCCACTGTCCTGTACCCACTGTCCAGCAAGCCCCAGTGAGATGAACCCAGTACCTTAGTTGGAAGTGCAGAAATCACCCATCTTCTGCGTCGCTCACGCTGGGAGCTGTAGACTGGAGCTGTTCCTATTTGGCCATCTTGGAACTGCCCACGGTATAGAAATTTCTAAAACTTATTCATCTTGCATAACTACAACTGTCTATCCTTTGACTAATACCTGTTTCCTTCTCCCTTCTAACCCAAATCTTTGGCTATCACCATTCTTTTCTCTGCTTCTATGAGTTTGACTTCTCTCTGCTTCTGTGAGTTTATATTCCTTATATAAGTGGGACCATGTAGTATTTGTCCTGTGTCAGTCTAATTGATACAATTCTTAAAACAGCAAAGAACCTAGTTTGTTTTTCTCCCTACAGTTCTATTTTCAGTTTACTTTATTACTTTTATTTCAGTTTACTTTTATTTTATTATAGTTCTTTCAGTTTATTATAAAGAATTCAAACAAGTGTAGAAAATTGTACAGTTAACAGATACTCACCACCTAAATTCCACATTTAACATTTTAGAATATTTGCTTTATCACTTATCTATCCATGTATCAACCCTCTTCTCCCCTCCATCCACTTACACCTTCTACATTTTGATGCATTTTAAAGTTAGTGATATCAGATTACTTTCCCAATTCTCACACTTCACACATAACGATGGCCCAAGATCAATATCCAGGAAGTAATGAGTAAAGGTTTACAACAGATACCTATTAAGTCCCTATGTGCTACATACCTGAGATACAAATAAGTGAGCTTCAAGGCCAAAACAGCAAGATGTCCAACACTGCCAAACACTTGCCAACACAAACATCCTCTCACCCTCCTTCAAACAGTGAAGATGCTGAGCTGTCCATTTATAGCATCATTTGTTCTTTCACAGCTGCTTATAGAAAGTGCAGTTCTCAGCTTCAGACACTGAAGTCCAATGAATCAAACATAATGAGTCTGACATGTCACTGACTAAAACCCAGGCAAAATGCTGTGGGTTCCACACCATTGCCTCAATTAAAGTCATGTCTTAGATTTTCATTATTTTGTTGCTATAGACACTTTAACAAATTGTTGGACGTTATGTTTCCATTAAAAGTTTTCTTTGTGCTTTTCCTGTTTTCTCAGGATTCACTGGTAAATATCTTCAATGATATCATCTCCCAAAAGTAAAGTAGGTTTGAAGATAATAAAAATAACTTAAATATTTTAACATGTAATATTAATACACAAAGTCTTATATAATGTAAACCGCAGTATTGTATACATTCCATTGTTATCCTCCCCTTCACATTTTTAGGTATATAAAAAATTGTAGTTGTCATCATCACCATTTTACAAATGAGAAGACGGAATATCAGACAGATTAAGCCTCAGAGGTGATAAGCTATGGATCTGGAGTTCAAAGGCAGGCTTCTAGCTCCAAATCCCATAATTTTCCCTCTGCATTTGATGTAAGAATAAAATAAAAGTGTTTGGGGCAATGAATAGTTCAACCCTATGTGAAATGTATAGCTTTGACACACTAACTCAAAGTGTTAAATATGTATTGTATTTCATGTGCATGTATGCAGATATGTTGTGTGTGCATGTTACACATGGATTTAAGTATATATACACCCATATGTAACAGAAAAATCATTTGGACAGTTTCTTCCATGTCACAAGTTTTGTGCTAAGGGCTTTACAAATATTTTAATTTCATGCTCAGAGAACCCTTGTGTGTTGAGTATTATTACCCCTAAGGTACAAAGAAAACTGAGGCTCAGTGTAATTAGGCAATGTGCTCACTGTTGCACTGATAATATGTAGCCAGGACTGTCTGGCTACAAAATGCATGCTCTTGAGCATAATACAATAGTCAGTGGAATCATTTTGAAACACTAGCTAGAAGAAAATTGAATAAGTGTTCACATATTACATTTGTGTATCTATTGCCAAAAAATTGTTAAATTGAATTTTAAAAAGAGGCATGGTCATTGTCTTTGTTTACTCATTTATTTATTATTTATGCCAGGAACATGTTTCAAGCTGGTGATGATGTGATAAACATGACTAGGATGGTCTGACTTCAAGAAGCTTGAACTCTCATGGAGAATGCTAGCAAATAATAATTTTTTAAAAAGCTAAATTTTTCTCTAGACCTGCTTCACATACCCTATTTTTCAGTTGTTAGTGACTCTGTCTTTCCAGAGGTTCATCTTTGGAGGCATCTTTGATTCATTTTTCTTAGCCTTATAGTTTGTCAACTAATACTGTTAGCTCTACCTACAAAATATATTTATAATCCAAACTTTTTTTTTCATAATTCGAACATTTATTTCTGATTCTGCTGCTACTACCCTAGTCCAAGTCACAATAATCTCAAGCAGATTACTACAATATTCTCTTAAATGGCTTCACATTTACCTCCCCCCAGTCTATTCTCAACACCACAATTAGAAGGATCCTGTTAAAACTGTAAATAAGATCCATTCATCTGCTCACAATGTTGGTAGCTACCAATTTCCCTCAGGAGAGAAGCAGAAGTCCTCAATCCAATTAAAATATGGGTGAATGATCTCAATAGTTGTATCTCCAAGTAAGATATAAAATGGCTGACAAGTACATGGAAAGATGTTCATCATCATCAGCTGTCAGGAAAATGCTTATCAAAACCACAATGATACCACTTTATACACACTAGGATGGCTCGAATCAAAAAAGACAAATAAAAAGTACTGTCAAGAATGTGGCAATGCCAGGCGTGGCGGCTCACGCCTGTAATCCCAGCACTTTGGGAGGCTGAGGCAGGCAGATCACAAGGTCAGGAGTTTGAGACCAGCCTGACCAACACGGTGAGACCCCACTGCCCCTAAAAATACAAAAATTAGCTGGGCATGATGGTGCATGTCTGTAATCCCAGTTACTCAGGAGGCTGAGGCAGGAGAATCACTTGAACCTGGGAGATGGAGGTTGCAGTGAGCCGAGATTGTGCCATTGTACTGCAGCCTAGGCAACAGAGCAAGACTGTGTCTCCAAAAAAATAAAAATAAGTAAATAAATAAAAATAAAAAGTGGCAAAATTGGAGAACTCGTACACTGCTGGTGGTAGCCTAAAAATGGTGAAGCTTCTTTGGAAAACTATCAGTTCCTCAAAAGGTTAAAAACAGTCATAATATGACCCAGTAATTCTACTCCTAGGTATATACTCAAAAGAAATGGAAATATATGTCTACACAAAATCTTGCACATGAATATTCATAGCAAAATTATTCATAATGGTCAAAATGTGCAAACACAAAGGTACATCAACTGATAAATGGATAAATAAAATGGAATACAAAATACAAAGACTACCATGAAGAGAAATGAAGTTCTGATATGATGTACTATAACAAACCTTAAAGACTGTATGCTAAGTTTTAAAAGCCCATGACAAAAGCCCACATACTATGATTCCATTTATACCATTTATAGAAAATGTCCAGAATAGACAAATCTATAAAGTTGGGGCTGGGAAGGCTGGTGGGGGATGGGCAGTGATTTCTAATGGATATAGGTTTCTTTTTGGGATGAGGACAATGTCCCAAGATTGATTGTGGTAATGGTTGCACAACTATGAATATACTAAAAACCACTGTATTATATACACCTAAAATGTGTTCATTTTATGAACATGTGAACTATGCCTCAATAAAGTAATGAGTTGTGTGTCTGTGTGTGGGGGTGCCTGGATGAACAAATTCCTTAAAATAGCTTCTGAGGCCCTACATCATCTGGTCGCTGCCTCCCCCAGTAGTTCTCTAGTATATCCAGATTCTCTTTCCCAGTCACTCAGCAGGAGCCAAAGAGGTCTTTTTGCCCTTTCTCAGACATATTACTCATCCTTCAGCCTCAAGACCTTTGCACTGGCTGTTACTCTCCAGAGTGCCCTTCTCTGACATATTGACATGGCTCACTCCTCCACTTCCTTCAAATCTTTGCTAAAATGTCATCTTGTATGTGAAACATAGATTGTAATACCCTTCCCCACCATGCGTAACAAATTCCCCTTATCTTGCTCTATTTTTTCCCCAGAACATTATCTTTTTGTAGTAAAGGCTTTGGATGCTCACCCATATCTGATTCTCTTCTCCTTTCAAGCATACAGAAGAATTAATCTTCCCTGCACCCCGAACCCACCACCATAGAAATGCAGACATGTGATTAGTTCTGCCCAATGGGTCATCAGCAGCACTGACATGTGCCATTTCTACACCAAGATATTTAACTGTCAGTACAAGGCCTTCTAGTGATTTCTTGCACAACTGTAGTAATCACAAAGCCGACTTCATTTGCAGATTGAGATGCTGAAGATTAAAGCATTCCAGATTGTAAAAGCACTACAGAGATGAAAGTTTCCCTGGAGAGTCATCCGGACCTACAGCACATTTTTCATGGGTGATCAATTTTATGTGAGATTACGGGCTGCTTGATACTGCAGCATAGTTTAGCCTATGTTGATGGGTGTATCTAATAGTATTTATTTTTATTGTTCATTTTTTCTTTAGTGTCCTTCTCATCCCACAAGAATGCATGGCATAATGCCAAGGGGTTGCATCTCTTTTGTTACTAGTCTCTCTCTAAACCCCTGAAACACTACCTGGCACATCTTAGATATTTATTAGATGAACAGAATGAAGTAATATATAATTTTAAAAAGCAGGCTAGGTGTTGCAGCTCAAATCCCAGCAGTTTAGGAGGCTGAGGGAGGAGGGTCAGTTGAGGCCAAGAGTTTGAGACCAATATGGGCAACATAGTAAGACCCCAGTGCTACAAAAAATTTTAAAAAATTAGCCAGGCATGGTGGTACATGCCTATAATCCCAGCTACTTGGGAGGCTGAGGTGGGAAGATTGCTTAAGCTCAGGAGTTTGAGGCTGCAGTGACCCAAGGTCTTACCACTGTATTCCAGCCTGGGGAGCAGAGTGAGACTATATCTATATATTATATATTATATGTAAGTTTATATATATATTTAATACATATTAAATAAAATTTCACAAGTGTTGTGAAAGAGAAATACTCCACAGTATTAGCAGGGTGACCTCACCTATTCAGTGGATTAGCATAGTCTTCTCTAATGAAATGACTTTTAAGCCAAATTCTGAAAATAATCAATAGTAGTGAGTTAGGTGATGAGAATTACAGAACCAGGAGGCACTGTCTTGCAAGGCTCTGAGCAATTACAACTCGGACCAGTGCTAGGAAGGAGTTACAGTGTCATGAGAGCCTATGATGGGAGGATTTGGCCCCTTCAGGGCAAACGACAGTGTAACAAAAGTCATTGGTAGGAAGGAAGCAAAAATAAAATTAGGGGAAAAAAGTGAGATCATATACAATCAAGTAAATTTGAGGTACAACAATATGTTAACAATTATGGCAAGAATATAACAGCATATATTAAAGAATTTACAGAAGGCATTATGGAAGAGTGAGAAATGAGCTGGAATTTTAGCTGCAGATGAGGATGAGAGAGCAAAAGAAAGCAGGATACCCCACTGCTCACTGGGGTCTGATGCTATGCAGAGCAAAGATCTCACATAAACACAGACACAGGAATGCCATTAGCAAAGATGTAAAACCGTGGTGAAACCAACGTAACTACAATTGAAGGGAGAATTTTGAGGGCAAACTCCTATTGCAAAAGCAAATGGGATAGATAAGATGGGATCAGTTCCTTGGGAGCTGCTAATGCCTGGACTGAGAATATGATCAGAGCAGTGTGATGAAAAAAGTATTTAGGAAGATGACTCAGGCACCAGTGGCCGAACAGCCCAAAAGTTTTTAATGAGAGGGAAGTTGAATGGCCCAAACCACTGCTCCATCTAGCAAATATTTATCAAGCAACTACTATATACAATGTAAATAAGGCATTATTTTTAATGTCTAGAATATATTCCTTAACTTTCTGGTTCTGATATTTCTAATAAATGTGAATGTTTACACGTACAAATAATTACTCAGATGCCCTGTGAATGTCAGACTAAAACTGTAAATTGGGATCAGATTGACTTATATCAAAACCACTGGACAATTTAATTTCTACAGTCCCTTTACCTGGAGAGATGCTTACTTAGAATTCCTGTTTTGAATTAAGAAGGACACACAGTTTAGTTGCCTCTAGGGATTTGGGCCTTTTAGAGGTTATTTTTAGAAAGATTTGTTTTGGGAGAGGTCAGTTGGTCTACAGTTCCAGCTGAAAAGTTTTATGGCTAGAGCTAATTAGTTTCCTTAGTATTATTTTTGGCCCTTCTCTAATCTCTGTTAATAACAGGAAAATACACAGAAAATTGCTCCAAATCCACAAAGAAATAGGAGAGTCATGGTGCCTTAGTAGAAAGAAGCTACAAGAAGAAATAAGTCAGTTAAAAGGAACATATTAAAAACAAGTAAAATAACGTATGATCAATAATATGTAGTCTGAATATTGAAAACATTTTAGATGGATTATATTTCAGAAGATCATAAAATATCTTGACCCCTCCCACTTAGAAGTATCACAAAATTGCCCTACGATCATAAGTAATTCTCTTTCAAGTCTTCCAGAATGCCAGGATGATATATAGTTGCCATCAGTCAAATTGTCTGAGTGATGCTTTAAGTATATATATAAAGTAACACGTATAAATAATGAGATAATTTCAGAAAGAACTACATACTTATCTTTTTTTTGCTATAAGATGACCTATCAATTCACCCTTAAATACTAATCCTGATGAAAGTCTTATTTTAAAGAATTTTTTGCAGATACTTATCTTGGATACAGTATACACTGAATAGCAATAGAAATAATACGCTCTAGGACAGTACGAAAACTAATGTGTCAAAGTTAACATTTCATAAGGTGTATTGAAAAAAATTGTATAGAGTTCTCTTAAGAAGATTCGGAGAATTCTGGTTCTGCCAATATGGAGTAGCCCACTCCTCCCAGGTCCTCCCTCTTGCAATTGAAAAACCCTGGACGTAACACAAGCATAGGAAGACTCTGAAAGGTGAAAACAGAGGCAGACAATCTAACAGCCTTAGGAGTTGTGGAACTCATGGAAGCAAGTTCTCTGGGTTTCTGTATTGCTTCCTGTATGTTCCAGATAGGAGCTTACAGTTGTGGCAGGGTCAAGCAGAAGTGGATCTAGCATGCATCCTTCCCACCCACACCTCCTCCCAGAAGAAACAGACAGGGGTGATCAAATTCCCCCATTGGATGGTCTCTACATGGCCAGGCAGAGAGCTAATCTTGCATGTCCCAAACAGGAAGCAGGTAGTGTTTTTATTCCCCTGCCAGCATTGTGACCATGGAGCTGAGTAGGGAGCTGACCATAACCCTTCCCTGTTCAGCAGAAATAGGTGGTGGCCTGAGTTCCCCACCAGGAAGTGCCCATGTAGTCCAACGGCAAGCTGAGCCTCCATCTCCACCTGCTACTACAACTGTGATGAATCTTTAGGAACTGATGTGGAATGGAAAAAAAAAAAAAAGCCACTCCTAAAAGGTTGCAACTCTGGGATTCCATTTATACAATAGTCTTAAAGTGACAAAATTACAGTAATGCAGGCTGGGCGCAGTGGTTCATGCCTATAATCCTTGCACTTTGGGAGGCCAAGTGATCTGTAGATCACTTGAGGTCAGGAGTTCGAGACCAGCCTGGCCAACGAGGTGAAACCCCATCTTTACTAAAAATACAAAAAAGTTAGCCGGGCATGGTGACAGGTGCCTGTAATCCCAGCTACTCAGGAGGCTGAGGCAGGAGAATCACCTGAACCCAGGAGGTGGAGGCTGTAGTGAGCTGAGATCACCCCACTGCACTCCAGCCTGGGCAAGAGTAAGATTTCATCTCAAATGAATAAATTATATATATATAATTGTGTGTGTACACACACACACACATATATACACACATGTATATACACATATATACATACACACACACACACACACACACACACACACACACACACACACACACATATTACAGAAATGTAGAAAAGATCAGCCAGGGCCCAGAGGTTGGGAAGCAGGGAAGGGGAAGGAGGAAGAAGCTATACAGCAAATGAGAGATCCTTGTGAGGATGGAAATGTCCTATATGAATGTCAGTATCTTGGCTGTGATACTGTATTATGTTTTTTGAAGAAGTTACCATTGGAGGAAACTTGAGAAAAGGGTACATGGAACCTCTGTATTATTTCTTACAACTCTACATGAATCTGCAGTTATCTCAAAATTAAAAGCTTAAAAGGGATTTAATCAACAGGTATGAGATTATTCATTAAGGAATCTTCCAATTGTCAGATTAAACATTATTATTTTGTATTTTAATATAAAATTATTCAATTTCAATATAAAACTATTGTTTCTAAACCAAAATAGGAGAGGTAGTTATCTCCATTTTCTGGAGATTGGACTAAAAAATTTTTCTTCATCTAATAGACTAGATACCAAAATTCTATCACATTAGTATTCATTCAATCATTAAACATTTGTTAAGAACCAACTATGTACCCTGCTCTAAGTTATAGGAATAAAGTAATGAATGAAACAAACTGAATACTTGCTCTCTGGTGCTTACTTTATGAGAGAAGTACTCTGTATTTCATTCATGTTGGTCAACTAGTTCTTTTTCACTATGTAATCAGATTAACTTTCTCTCAGGCCTTTGCCAAGATATAAACCAATCACGCTGAAAGGTTGTGTTTCCTACCTACTACTTTGTTAGGTTGAAATACTTCTTTCTTCCTTTGCATTAATAATCCTTAGTGAAACTAAAAGGATATCTGAAGATATAGTAAGGTAGGAAGCTGAAAGAATGTGAGTCACTTAGGATTTTACTGGAAAAGCTCTCTAAGCTGAAAATGTTTCGAGTAGGATCAGTTCTCACTGTGTGTTAATATCTATATCTATACATGGGATATAATGTGATGGAGGGAAACTAGAAGTAAATCTGAGACTCTTCTTACTGGCATTGATGATTTCAGGTTTTTCAGTGACCCATCTATGGCATCGTTTTGAGTGTCACAAGGATAAAGTTTACATTAAAACACAAAGGGCTTTCAGAGGAAAAACTTAATTTCTAAAATAATGTAATTAGTTTTTTTAATAAACACTTGATTGCATTTTTTCCATAAATACACAAACACCTACCACAAGCACTATGAAGAATGCAAAGATATTGTATCATAGATACACCAATAAGCTCTTAGTCTTAAAGAACTTAGCCAAATCTGAAGTAGGGTATATATGGATACAGAACATGAAAAGATGGTTCATAAGGAACCAAATGGACTTGTCCTCCCATATGTGGTGTCCAGTATAGTTCCATGATCCATGACATAAACCCCATGAGACTATAAAGATCGAAAAATATGAAAGTCAGAAACACAAATATGGAGGCACAATGAGCTTTGCAAATAGCCCTAAAACAGCAGCTTTTTTATGACATGTATTTACATGTGGTTTGCCATTTTATGCATGTCCTTGATAAGAACAATATGATTGCATGCTTCATTACCATTCAAGTACCAACTGGAGGCTTCACAGATTCTACCACTTTGTATACAGACAGCATAAACAGAAGAAATACTTAAACTTTTCTATTTCACATTGCAGCCATAAAAACAGATTGTTTATCCAGCTGAACTCTTTCATGTGAGACACAAGAGCACTATAACCAAATACCGAAACTCAATGGCAGGGCCCAACTCTTCCTAGAAATACAGTAATGAACCAAGAAGCAAGTGGTCTTAAACTCAGTTTGGCTTTTCCACTAGATAAAGTAGCCATCATACTAACTAAGTACATAATCTTTATCTTGACTCTCCTGCAGTGAGGTTTTTGTTGTTGTTGTTGTTGTTTTGTCTTTTTAAGACCAAGTTTCGCTCTTGTCACCCAGGCTGGCGTGATCTCAACTCACTGCAACTACTGCCTCCCGGGTTCAAGTGATTCTCTTCTCATGTCTCAGCTTCCCGGAGTAGCTGGGATTACAGGTGCACGCCACCACACCCAGCTAATTTTTATATTTTTAGTAGAGATGAGGTATCACCACGTTGGCCAGGCTGGTCTCAAACTCCTGACCTCAGGTGATCCACCCGCCTTGGCCTCCCAAAGTGCTGGGATTACAGGCATGAACCACCGTGCCTGGCCTGCAGTGAGGATCTTTAACAGTTATCCAGATCCACCCCAGGTGTCCATTTTAGCAGTAATACTTTACCCCCTTTACAGTTAATCATGCACATAACAAAAGTTGCAGATAGATCAATGGAATTCATAAACGCCCTAACTCCAGGAATTAAGAGAAAATTTAACTTGGTATTTTGAATTCCCACTCAATTCAGTTAATTCAGAAATGCCTGGGCTGGGCACAGTGGCTCACGCCTGTAATCCTAGCACTTTGGGAGACTGAGGAGGGCAGGTCATGAGGTCAGGAGATCGAGACCATCCTGGCTAACATGGTGAAACCTCGTCTGTACTAAAAAATACAAAAAACTAGCTGGTAGTGGTGGCGGGTGACTATGCTCCCAGCTACTCAAGGGCTGAGGCAGGAGAATGGCATGAACCTGGGAGGCACAGCTTACAGTGAACCAAGATCGCGCCACTGCACTCCAGCCTGGACTATAGAGCAAGACTCCGTCTCAAAAAAAAAAAAAAAAGAAAAGAAAGAATACCTGGAAGTAAAAACAATGAAATCAAGTACAAGTTGTACTGGAAAAAAACACCATAAACATAATACTATTCCATGTGCAAAATATCCATGTGCAAAATATATTATAGTCATACCCATTTTGACAAAACATTCATCCATGCATTTTAACATATCTCTCAAACTACATCATCCAGCTCAGTGTCCCTGATTTAAGAATAGTATATCAAGTAAAGCCACTCAAACATATTTAGCACTGCTTTGATAACAGTCCATTAAAACTATTCGTAACTCTCTGTCTCTGCAGTAAATTAGATCTTGGATCACCTTAATGCCAGAACTGCTGTGGTCAGCACCATTAGAATGAACACATAGAGGCAGCCTGTGCTTCATCTGAAAACTCTGCTCCTTTGTCTTATTTGAAATTACATCCTTCATCCCAAGACCTGAAAGGGCTTGAGTTGTTGGGTAAAGCAAACATCTCTGTCCTCTCTCAGACTGCTACTGCCAGGCATCAGCAGGAAGGACTTTTGCAGCCTAAAAAGGAGAATTTGGCCCATCAGTTTAAATGACCTCGAGCTATGTTATTTGATGGCAACCAAGAGAGTACAGTGAAATGTAACATGTAGGATTTTACAAGAAAGGAGGGCCAGGGTGGGTTTTGTTCCTCTTCTCAGATAAATTTGGTCCGTCGGTTATTCTGTGGAAAAGGTACTCACTCTCCTCCAAGGTCACTTGGATAGGAACCACAGATTTCTAGGAAAGTTATGTTATTAAATTGGCTACTTACACATAAAAGGAAGATCACATGGCAGAATTTAGCCCAGGATGTTCTGGACTGGGAATAAAACAATCCTTTGGTAGGGAATCCCAGTGCTAACTAGATATTCCCAAGATCTGAGAACATGAAAAGCAGGGTACTATACGGAGTTAGGGGAAATTGCAGGGCTAACAAATTCATGGAATGACTCATGGCAAAGTATTTGCGCAAACTGGTTGCAATGAAACCACCTAGGGAATATCAGGGCTATTTCACTAGATAGAGGCCACTGGTTTTGACTCACCGTGAAAAAATGCAAGATCTATTTGTGACAACTTGGATGAACCTAGAGGACATCACATTTAGTGAGATAAGTCAGGCACAGAAAGACAAATACCACCTGATCTCATATGTCAAATCTTAAAAGGCCAAATTCAAAGCAGAGAGTAAAATGATGGTTACCAGTAGGGCTGGGGAGGTGCTGGTCAAAGTGTACAAAAACTTCAATTAGAGAGGAGAAATTTGTTCAAGAGATGTACTGTACAATGTGGTGGCTACTAATAACTATGTGTTTTTTTGTTTGTTTTTGAGATAGAGACTTGCTCTGTCGCCCAGGCTGGAGTGCAGTGCTGTGATCTTGGCTCACTGCAGCCTCCACCTCCCGGGTTCCAGCAATTTTCCTGCCTCAGCCTCCCCATTAGCTGGAATTACAAGCACATGCCACCATGCCCAGCTAATTTTTATATTTCTAGTAGAGACGAGGTTTTTCCATGTTGGCCAGACTGGTCTCGAACTCCTGACCTCAGGTGATCCGCCCATCTTGGCCTCCCAAAGTGCTGGGATTACAGGCATGAGTCACCATCCCTGACCACAGCTATGCATTCTTGAAAATCACTGAGTATAAACTAAGTTTTCTTATCACACAAAAAAAGAAATATGTAAAGTAGTACCGATGTAATTAGCTCAATTCAGCCATTCCAGTGTATACATATTACAAAACATGTTGTATATAACATAAAATTGTCAATTCTAAAATAATTAAGAAAAGAAAAAAAATCTAAGATCTGAGCTGCCTGAATCCCAGGATACAATGATGAGGAGAGGATACATTGGCTTAGAAACCACTTAGTTTGCCAGCAACAGTGGAAGAGGATTCCCTTGATCCAGAAAAATGGGTCAGGTTATATAGAGACACAGACTCATTAGAGGTACGATACTTCTTCAAAGTATCGTACAAAAGTCCCTCCTAATGATCCAGCTTTAACTTCTTTACCTCAGACCTATACTGAGGTAATGAAGTTAAAGCTAGATCATTAGGAGGGACTTTAATACAGCCCAACTAGTGTCCTTACAAAAATGGGAATTTGGACACAGATATAGACATGCATAGAGGGAAGATGTAAAGAGACACAGTATAGGGAGGAGACAGTCATCTACAAGATAGGGGATGAAGGGAGAGGCTTGGAACAGATGCCTCCCTCATAGCCCCGGAAGGAACTAACCCTGCCAACACTTTGATTTCAGACTTCTAGCCTTCAGATCTGTGAGAAAAAATTTCTATTGTTTTAAGTCGTCCAATTTGCAGTACTTTGTTATGGCCACCCCAACAAACTAATACACCTGCAAACCATGCAGATGTTTATATAGAAAAAGTCAACACTCTCTCTCACCTTGACCATTTCCTGCCCTTTGGGTAACTGATATCAGCATTGTGGAGTATATCTATTCACACTTTTTCCATACACATGATTTTTACTGGTTCATTTTTAATTAAATTATGATAGCACTTTGCAATGTACTTTTTTATCCATCTTCCAGATGGACTTATTATAACTCTCACTCATTAATTGCTATGTAATATTCAATCTTATGTATCACTCTTCTGCTGGTTAACAATCAGGTTATTTCAGGTTATATGGCATCACAAAAAAAATGCTGTGATAAACATCCCTGGACATATGTTTTCAATTTTAAAGCATAGATTTCTTAAATTAGAATTTCTCATTCAAGAATTATGTGTATTTCCTATTCTTCAATGCCCACCCCCACCAATGTATCAAAATATTTCTCAGCTAACAGTGCACATAAATTTCATAAACCTATTTGATTATGTTTCAAAAGCCTGTTTAAAGAGAATGATAATCACAAAGAATCTGATTAGACCCTTAGATGGAGGTCTTTGTTGCATTCTGGTAGATGAGGAAAAATATAAGTCATGAACACTATTTTCATCCACGCAGAAATAGAGTCCCTTCACAAATCCCTTTTTCCTGGATTTTGTTTTTGTTTCTTGAGATGGAGTCTTGCACTGTTTCCTGGGCTGGAGTGCTGTGGCGCCATCTCGGCTCACTGCAACCCCTGCCTCCCGGATTCAAGTGATTCTCCTGCCTCAGCCTCCTGAATAGCTGGGATTACAGGTGCACGCCACCACACCCAGCTAATTTTTTGTATTTTTAGTAGAGACGGGGTTTCACCATGTTGGCCAGGCTGGACTCAAACTCCTGACCTCTGGATTCACCCGCCTCAGCCTCCCAAAATGCTGGGATTACAGGCGTGAGCCACCGTGCCCCACCCCTTTTTCCTGTTTTTAATGGAATGTGTCCCATACAAACCATTGGTTTCCATGAATGTCCATTTTTATTACTTCTTTATTCATTTAAGGCAACCTAGAAATGCCAGTGCCAAAGCCCAAACTGAAGCTGACAGATGCTAGCCAGTTATTCTTTCAACTACAGAGTAATTTCCTGGTTCTAGCAAAAAGCATGGCAAGAACTCTGTTCCCCTCAATCCACTCTCAATTAACAGATGAAGCTTTAGAACCTTGTGAGGAAGTGGGAATGCCCAGACATTTCACCTACAATGGACTCTACTGGTGATTTCAGGGGAGAGCTGGCAGGAAGTAGAACACAGCCTGTGGAGATTTTGGGCACGTACTATGATTCCAAAGCCATTATTGAGGCAACTTTGCTGAAGTCAGGGCTCTTGGGAGAAAGGGACATGCATAGAGCATTTCTATTGCTGAGCAAATTGGCCATGACTTACTATGCAGATCTGCAGGAAAATGAATGAATAATGTTGAGCTTGAAAAATGCACTGGGCTTGCAAACGCTTTTGTCATGTCAACACAACTGAGATTGGCACCTCAAGAAGAGTGGCTCATCCCTGACAGATCACTCATGTGTTCCTTTAAAAAATGAGAATTTAGGAGGAGACTCAATCATAAATTATTCATTTGGGGTTTTTTTTTTTTTTTTTTCATTTTATTTCAGAACATTCTCCTGGTCATGTCTTAAGTGAATTTCTCCCTGGTCCCATCATTTACAAATGCAGACAATTCTCAGTAAAGGAGCCAGATCTTAAGAAAGGAGCCACAGGACTTCCCCTCCCTTAAGAGAAGTCACTCTAGCCCTCAGTTGCTGCCCTCAATTGCTACCCGCTTTCTAGGCCAGTAATAGCTGCAGCCCAATTAAGGCTGTAAAGGTGGCCCTTATTAACATTTTAAAAATAAAGCCATCTTCACCTAAACTTGGTAAGAACAAGTATTTTTCTTTTACCACCATCAAACCT
The DNA here is from genome assembly GCF_000001405.40 of Homo sapiens. Taxonomy (NCBI): domain Eukaryota; kingdom Metazoa; phylum Chordata; class Mammalia; order Primates; family Hominidae; genus Homo; species Homo sapiens. Next base: position 53,994,710 of record NC_000018.10, read on the forward strand.
CAAACACACCAAGATTTTCCTCTGGGAAATCACTGCATGTTTTATATGCTATATTTATGTCTCATTGTAAAGCATTCATTGGTTTATAGACCTTGGGTCCTCGAGGAAACATCACAAATCCTTATTATACTTCTTGGTATTAAATTTGGTGTTAGAATCTGATTTATCTGCCAGCCTAACTCACATGTAAACAGACATCTCTCTCAAAGCTTCTTCAAATTCAATAACCCCCCACCAAAAATAGTTCATGCTAAAGCTCTAGCCTTGAAGTTCACTGCAGTTACATTGTCAATGTGTAAGGATAATGATAAACAAATTGTACTTAGTTCTTTCCTCATTATGTTCACTTTTCCTTACACACACACACCCCCATACACAGACAAGGGACCAGAAAAGTGTAATTTTGAAGGCCTTTTAAAGACAAGTATTGGTAGGCTTTCTAAGTGAATACAGTAATCTTCTTTAAATGAAGGAATGAATCAGTCACCACGAGGTGACGGTGAAGTCCAATAAACAGGGCAATAAATAATGATCATCTAATTAATGCAGATTAAAGACTCAGCCCAAGGACATTCCTCCTTATAAGTTATCACCTTTCCAAGGAATGCAAATATTAAAAAATCTTCATATAAGTTTATGTTGCGATTTGCTTTCTAATTGCCACATAAGATTGTTCTGATGGGAACTTATATAGAAAATTTAATCATTTGAGTATCTTTTAAGAGAATCTAATTATATGTGAAGTTTTTTGCAGATGTCATCCTCCTGGTTGTTCCTTTTAGTGATCGTAAATAGCATAGCATTGCCAACTAGAAAATTACAGAAGAAACCCTTTTCTCCTTTGACATTTTCAAAATACTGAAATATTTAAGCAAATGTTTAATAAGTATGACTATGTACTACTGAATATATTTCTAATGTGAAATGCGCATTATATGTATGAAAAGCCAATCAGAACTTAATTCTGATTCAAGTTAGTAAAATGTTATTGTGTTCCAATGATGTGCAAAGCATAATGCTAATAAGGAAGAGAGTAAAAGATATGGGATGGCCCCTGCCCTCAAGGAACTTCCAAGTCAACTTACCTTTTTCTCTTTTTTTTTTTTTAAATTTGAGACGGAGTCTCACTCTATCACCCAGGCTGGAGTGCAGTGGTGCAATCTCAACTCACAACTCACTGCAGCCTCTGCCTCTCAGGTTCAAGCAATTCTCCTGCCTCACCCTCCCAAGTAGCTGGGATTACAAGTGCCCACCACCATGACTGGCTAATTTTTTGTATTTTTAGTAGAGACAAGGTTTCACCATGTTGGCCAGGCTGGTCTCGACTCCTGACCTCAGGTGCTCCACCCACCTTGGCCTCCCTAAGTGCTGGGATTACAGGCGTGAGCCACCATACCCAGCCACCTTTTTCTGTTACGTGAACTAAACGGTCTTTAGTTTCCAAAGTAGAAAGAAATCTTGAACAATAGTTTCTATATCAAGGGTCCTTATAAATCACATGTGTTGTTCTCATGCTCAAGAATGAGAAAAGCCACTGAAAACAAACCACATATTTTTTAGATAAATACACACCAGTTGTGGGGGTTGTCCAGATCAACCAAAATAATGCTTTTGAAAATCAAGATAGGATAGCATATTTAGAAAGTATATCATATTTAGATTATGATTTAATCTTTATTTTGGTTGGATCTGAACAGTATTTTGAAATTATTCTAGAAATAATGCAAGGAAAGAATCTAGTGTAATTTTATTCATAAAAATCAAGAAAGCTACTGATTTTGCACATAAGTCAAAAAAAAAGTACAGGTGAAAAATATGGTTAAATTATAGAATATTAAACATCATTAAATTTCTGTCATGGGTTTTTTCTGAAATATTTTTTGACAAGTTGTATAACATCTTTGTACAGTAAATTAAGGATTACCTTGTAAAAATTTGAAACTATGAAGTCAATTATTAAAATATTATTTCAGAGTATTTTAATAGATGAACTAAAGACATATTCAAATAAGGTGGTTATAAGTTACTTTCTATGTTTGTAGAATTTCCAAAGCCTTTGAATCCTGTAGGTTTGTAGAATTGTATCTTTTGACATCTTGAAAAAAGATAACTGAAAAATAATATGGTTCAGCGGATTTGAAACTGCCTGCACAACAGTTCCCAAACAGTATTGATTACTAGATCAATTTCAAACTAATGGGTGTTTGTTAATTTTATGCTAAAGAAATCTTCCCTTGGTTCTGTTCAAATATTAAGAGTGACTTGGATGAGGACATGGATAATCTGTTTACCAAACCCATAGATGACAAAGGTGATGCAGACAGCAACTCTGCAGGTTGATCAAGTAGATTCAGTTGGTCTCAATAGGATAGAATGATGTATTGGATTACATGAAAATGAATAGGATAAATGTATAAATCTGGCACATGAGTTTATAAAAATGTATCAGTATAGAAGAGCAATGGTACAGCAACTGTAGTACACCCTCATAGATTGCAATTCCAATACAAAAGCAGGTGAGGTGTCGGTAGGAACTAATATTTACTGAATGACTTAAGCTCCTAACCACAGGCATCAGAGATCCAAGCATTGATATTATTCCCATTTTATAGAGAAACAGACATAAAATAATTTCCCCTATGTCCTACAGACTATAAAAGATGAATCTGGAATTTGAACCTAGAGCAATCTTTCTGTAAAGCCCTGCTTTTATCAAGCCATTATCATGTAAACAGTGTAATAAAGATACTGTAATAACTAATGTAATCCTGGGTTACTATATTAGTTCATTTCCACACTGCTGATAAAGACACACCCGAAACTGGGAACAAAAAGAGGCTTAATTGGACTTAGTTTCACATGGCTGGGGAGGCCTCAGAATCATGGCAGGAGGCAAAAGGCACTTCCTACATGGCGGCATCAAGAGAAAAATGAGGAAGAAGCAAAAGCGGGAACCCCTGTTGAACCCATGAGATCTTGTGAGACTTATTCACTATCACAAGAATAGCACAGGAAAGACATGTCCCCATTCAATTATCCCCCCAGGGTCTCTCCCACAACGTGTGGGAATTCTGGGAGATACAATTCAAGTTGAGATTTGGGTGGGAACACAGTCAAAACCTTATCAGTTACATTAGCAGAAGTAGAAGGCAAAAAAAAGAAATAGTAGTCTTTCTCTAGTTTACATTAAGTCAGATGTTTATGGAAATCTAATGTAAAGATTAACACATATACACATTCATCAAGATGAAAAGAGAAAAACAAATACGAGGGTATTTATACAATGAAATACTACTCATCACTAATAAGGAACAAACTACTGATAAAACAACATAGGTGATCTAAAAAAAAAAAAAAAGTTGAGCAAAAGAGTGTGCGCTGTTTAATTCCACTAGTATGAAGTCCATGAAAAGGCCTAACTCGTCTATGCTGATAGAACAGTAGCTCCCTCTGGGAAGGTTGCCTGGAAAGGAGCATAGGGAATTTTCTGGAATGATGAAATGTTTTATATTTTGATTGAGATGGTAGTTACAGAAGTATATACTATTGTCAAATGTACCAAACTATACACTTAAGATTTGTGCATTCTATTATATGGAAGATATACCTCAAGTCAAAGAAAAAGTAATGTACAGAAACTAGAGACTATGGTACTATGACAGTGAAGTATCAAGAAATCATGACCTAGGTGAAACATGCAATCTAAGAAATACTATTTGCAAACATTTACTTTATTAGCAAGAAGTCCAGGAAAGGGGAGATAGAATGAGGTATAATATTGATGTTTAAAATTATACCCTAAGAGAAAAAGAATAGTCATAAGTACTTTTTAGGGAGTGTAATTAGGATGAATAAGCAGACATTTTACCTCAGTCTAAAAATTGTCTATAGTCAAAGCAGTTCAAACATGAAATTGTATGAAGTTGTAAATTCCCCACTGTTCCAAGTGCCAGGCAGAGCCAGACAGCCTCCTATCATAATGTTCACAGAGGATACTTGGAACCTAAAGCAGTTCTCGCCAGTGCTGACACTATGCAGCTATGTCCTGAAACACACCTTGAGCCTCCATGGATGAAGCTCACATACTAAATGGCATCCAAACTCTCAACCCCACTCTCAATCTACTCACAACCCTTGGGGTCCACAAACCCATGTGCCAGTGATTAGCAGAAGCAGCCTCTACCCAACTTCTACTCCAACCCTACCACATGCTCCAATGTCAGATTCTAAAAAACAGTGGTTAAAAAAAAAATACACTTTCATGTTTGGAGCACTTCTTAATAAAGAATATTTTGGTTCACCAAAGATTAAGTTATTTAATCTTATCTATTAATGAGGGTTACTAAATATCTAGCATGCTCTGAACACTGGAAATATAAGCAAAAAAAGACAACAGTCCCCATTTGGTGGAGCTTACATTCTTGGTTGACATCAAGTGGATTAGGACAAGAACATCTCTGTTCTTTGGACCTATCCCTAGTGTAACTCTGCTGTACATGTAAGAGGGTGATGAATAAATACCCATTAACTTAACTTGATGTGAGAAACCAACAGAGCAGGAATATATAAAAGCCTCATGGGGGAGACAGGGCTTATCCAAGATTTAGACATGGTATTTTGCTACTCAGCTCAGTAAAAACCTGTTAGATGTCAGAAGTTGACAAAATACTCATTTTCACCATTGTTCCTACACCTCAATAATAAGCCAATACACTGTGACTCAATGGATTTACTCTGAATTTACGATTTGATTAATGCTACCCCCCAGAGTGATGCCAAGAGCCTTAGTAGAGCTTAACGAAATTGACTTCAATAAAATAAAAGGAGTGATGTTGCTGAGCTATGTCCAATAAATCACAGAGTCTATTAGCTGACATTAATTTATAATTTCAGGCACAGCAATAAAACTATTCACAATGCATACCTTTAAATTGGATGAGAAGCTCAGGTAGCAAATTCTGAATGCAGCAAATCCTTCTAGAATAAAAACAGAAAACAGTCTCTATGGCAATAGCTTTGGGGAGTTGCCTTTAACCTCACCTAATGAGCCAACAAAATGTTTTAAGTGTACACTTAAATGTACAATTCAAGAAGTTAAATTGACTAGACCCACATTTTAAGACCTGCTGAAACACTAGCTGCAAACTTTACAGATTGACTCTCCAAGGAAAATTAGGTATTTGCTATACACGCATCAGAGGCAAAAAGTTCAAAGGAAATTGTGTATAAATTACACATATATAAGGATGAGAATTAACAATTCTGTTAGTTCTGTCTATGTACTTCCTCCATGTGTAATCTTTTCCTCTTCTGGTCGTTTATCTATAAACCTTTTTTTGGTCTCTAGCTACTGCCCACCACACACAGTCATATTAAATTTTCAATGGAAAAAGATAAAACACATTTCCTCAAAGGTCTAAAGTCATCAGGAAGGAGTGGGCAGGTGTGTCTTCAAATCATTACATTCATACATTTGGGAAAGCATAGAGGGGAGAAGGAAGAGGAAAATCATGTAAAAAAAAAAAAAAAACTGCTCTAAAGGTGATCCTACTGAGTAAGGAGCTGTGTCGAAAACTAGAAGCACTATACCAAAGGCCATAGTGGCAATTCGCCACAAGGGAAAATGGTGGGAAGGAGGCACTGCAGCAGAAAACAGCTTGGGAAGTATTGAAAACTGCTATCTACTTGATATTTGAGAAACCTCACATTTGGGTAGTTTAGTGCAACGTAGCTAAATGTTTAAACTAAACCTCACAGTGGTCAGAGGAATAAAAACAAGATGATAAAACCTTTTTCTAAGAGTAGGCATAAGAGGTGATAAAACTGTTTCCTAAGAGTAGACATAAGAATAACTTTATTTGGCCAGCACTTTGGGAGGCAGAGATGGGCAGATCACTTGATGTCAGGACTTTGAGACCAGCCTGGCCAACATGGTGTAACCCCATCTCTACTAAAAATACAAAAATTAGCCGGGCGTGGTGGCAGGCACATCTAATTCCAGATACTCGGGAGGCTGAGGCAGGAGAATCGCTTGAACCTGGGAGTGAGAGGTGGCAGTGAGCCGAGATCGCGCCACCGTACTCCAGCCTGGGCAACAGTGAGACTTCGTCTCAAAAAATAAAAATAAATAATAAAAAAAAAAGGAATAACTTTATTCACCTTTGGCAACTTTTCCTAAGTCACCCCATGTCATCTACGTCAATCTGTATTACACCCAGGGAATCCAAGAAAGTGAAATCGCTGTAGGGAACTGTCACCGGCCCCATAGGCTTCCCCTGGGCAGGGGATATTCTGAAAATGGGATTATCAGTGACTGACTAGTTCCAATATTAACATTAGTTTCAAAAGGTGAAAACTTGTAAATAGAAATTCTGGAATAGATAGTAATATATATGTATTCATATAGAAAAGGAAGATGCATGATGAAAAATATAAAGATAACTCAGTACCTATAAATAAATACTTAAGAGGGAAAAAACGGGAATATGACTAAAAAGACAATGAATTAGAACTTTTAACTCAATAAGTCACTTTTCTACAAGGACAAAAAAATAAATCACTGCCACACTTAATGACTTTTCACATTCTGAGGAAGAAAGGAGTTTCAATGTAATTTGATACATATATGAATGTTATGTGTAAGTCACTAGGCTAGGTGCCATAAGGACTTACAGAGATTTTAAATATAAAATGGCCAGGCACGGTGGCCCACACCTGTAATCCCAGCACTTTGGGAGGCTGAGGCAGGTGGATCATGAGGTCAGGAGATCGAGACCATCCTGGCTAACACAGTGAAACCCTGTCTCTGCTAAAAAATAAAATACAAAAATTTATCTGGGCAAGGTCGCATGTGCCTTAGTCCCAGCTACTCAGGAGGCTGAGGCAGGAGAATCGCTTGAGCCCAGAAGGCAGAAGTTGCAGTGAGCAGAGATCGCGCCACTGCACTCCAGCCTGGGCGACACAGCGAGACTCTGTCTCAAAATAAATCTTGGATTTTGCAAGATGGCAGGGGAAATTAGCCACACAGATAGATCCCACTTTACAAGGGCACACTGATCCTAAAAGGTCAGTTGGGAGCTAGCTCTTTGAAGCATAGAGGAATTACCATGGAAAAAAAAAAAAATCAGAGTTGGGAGAAACAATACACTACTTTACATTTGAATTTCTGAGTGGAAAATTCAGGCTATAAGAAGGAATGAATAAGAGGTAAATTGCAAATTTGTATTTTGAATCAATTAGAAATGTAAACTGTTAGGACTGTCAAACTAATCTTAACCCTATGCTAACTCGAAGATGATTTCTTTAGCATAACCCAAATAGATGGTTTGTCTTTTCTTTCAACTGTGTTCATACATTTGTTCAGTGCATTCTAAAACCATTGAGTACAACACCAACGGTGATGGATTAACGGGTTATTAAAAATTGATTTTATTTTAAATAATGGTTTTGCATTTCAGGTTTTATTTCATCAATTTTACTCTTTTCCCTATTCACGAGCAAGAAGTATAAAACTACCCCCTCAATTTTTCAAAATGGAACTAACAGTAAACAGAAGAGGTTATCTCTAAAATTTTTCAGCCAATAGTGATGGAGAGGAGACAGATTGCTAGGCATGTGGTTACCAACAGAGTGTACATGAATAAGTCAGTCTGTACTTCCCGAGCTATCTCCAGAAGGAAGAACTCAAAGAGGGTCTGCTTTAAGAAAAATAAGAACCCCATTCGTGGGGTTGTTGCCCAATAACAAGATTTTGGAAATTTCTTATTCCAAGTTTATTCACCCTTTCCTGTGGTGAATAAATGCTATAGAGCAACCATTTTATAGCATCTGTGGTGACAAATGCTATAGAACCACCACAGGGAAGAAGTGTTGCTTAGGTTAAAGCTTCCATTGAGTGTGCATCTTCCTGGTATAATTGAGATCTGATGTATATGTGTTTTGAGTATGTGTATTTAAAATTAATACTCTTCTTTTGTAAAAATATTAAGTAGTGTTAGAATTAATACAGTGAGATCAAAGTCATAAATTGAGTTGTGCTGATAATATCAATTGTATATAGATCTCTAGGGATTTTTAATCTGGTTATTATAAACGTGGATATGTTTTTACCAGCTATTACCCACATCCTCAAAATGCAATACTCAAGGTCATCACCACTTGCCCCTATGAGCTCCTTACTCAAGACATATATCCCTCTATAGAAAGTTATAGTAAAATAGTTTTGTTAGAACATCTGCTAGGAAAGTGTCACTTTTTTAAATCAACAATGGCTAAGATGTCAATGGCTCCTCTTTAACGCTGGTGCCATTGCATATGCATGGCACAAACTGCACAGAGAAACCACATCCATGCACGTGGGAGAAATTAGAACCGAGACATGAGAATAATCCATAGTCAGCAACAGTAGTCCCAGTACCAAGAGTTCAACTGTAAACAGTGTCTAGCATTTTCAGTTTGGGTTATAACCAATTTTTTTATTAGACTCTTAAAGATCCAAGTAATAAATACAGTATAAGGTACAAGAATTCCGCAGTTGTTCAATATAAACTGGCCTGGAGAGGAAGAAAAGGCAAATGGATAAGAGGCTACATCATGAAATTGAGTAAGGGATGATAATGGCTTTGAAGAGGGAGGGAAGCAGTTGGCCTTTAGAAAACAACTTGCCCAGTGGGTTCCCCGCCACACACACTCTACTTCTGCTTTCTGTGGCATTTTCCCTTCTACTCTGAATGTATCTGTTCCCCAAAATCCACAATGGCTTCCATAAGAGATGTGATAGAGGTTGTAAGCCTCAGAGCTAAGTAAAGCTAGGCAAGGCCAAGAACATCAACTGTTTGCATGAATCACTAGTTATAATGTGGGTGTTTATGAACTGACTTCATAACTACCTGTGAAAAGATAATTGGAACAAAGATATGAGATGAAAGGAAAGGGTTAGTGTAAAGTAGAAGCAGAGTTAGATAATACCACAGTATCAATAATATAATTTGGATATTTGTCCCCTCCAAACTCTCATGTTGAAATGTAATCCTCAGTGTTGGAGATGGGACTGGTAGGAGGTGTTTGGATCATGGGGGCAGATCCCTCATGAATGGCTTAGTGCCATTCCCTTGGTGATGAGTTCACACGAGATCTGGTTGTTTAAAGGTGTGTGGCACCTCTCTTCTCTCTCTTCCTCCCATTTTTGCCATGTGATATGCCTGCTCACCTTTCACCTCCTGCCATGATTGTAAGCTCTCTGCAACTTCAGTAGGGGCAGATACTGGTACCATACTTCCTGCACAGCCTGCGGAACTGTGAGCCAATTAAGTCTCTTAAGTTACCCAGCCTCAGGTAATCTTTTATAGTAACTTGAACAGACTAATACAGAATCATAGGCAATGAATTAGGTTTTAGAATTAAGCTTAATTGTATTAAAGTTTGTTGAATGAGTGAGCAAATGAACAAATGAGGCTATAACAACATCCACCAACCACTAAAAAGTTGACTTTGTAATTTCTCAGTTCTAGTAATCAGTAGCCACAGATTGCAATAGAGTTGACTTAAGAAATGAGAGCAGGCAGCAATATAAGTGAGTATGCAGCAACGAACCTCAGTCCCAAAGGCTAAAATACAATTGCCTTGACAAAGTCACAAACTTTGTGAGACTTGGGAAAGAAAAATACAAGCAATTCTGACGAAAGAAAAGAATTGACATGGGGGAGGCAGAGTAAGATGGCCAAACAAAACCCTCCAGCAAATGCTCCCCCTGCAGAAACACCAAATTGAACAACTTATCCACACAACAACCAAAAATAGGTGAGAGATCACAGTATCTGGTTTTAACATCATATCAAGGAAAGAAGCCCTAAAGAAGGTAGGAAAGACAGCCTTGAACTGCTGATACACCTTCTGCCCCATTCCAAAAGCAGCTATGTGGCATGGAGAGAAAATCTGTATGCTTCTGGGAGGCAGAGCACAGCTATTAAGGGACTTTTCTTCAGAACTCAGTGCTGCCTTGTCACAGCAGAAAGCAACACAGGCCAGTTGGAAAACTGAACTTGCCCAGTGGGTTTTCCCCACCAATTCTACTTCTACTTTAAGTGTACCCATGGAGGGAGCACTTAAACCAGCCCTAGCCAGAAAGCAATTGCCCATCCCAGCCATCAGAGCCTGAGTTCTGACAAGGCTCACCACCACAGGATAACGTGCTCTGGGGACCTCAATAAACTTGAAAGTTGGTCTAGGCCACAAGGACTACAATTCCTGGGCAAGTCCTGCTGCTGTGCTGGGCTTGGAGCCAGTGAACTTCGGATGCACATGACCTAGTGAGGTATTAGCCGCCAAGTGGCCAAGGGAGTGCTTGCATCACTCCTCTGCCAACCCAAGGCAGTGCAGCTCACAGCTCATGGAGAGACACTTCCCTTACGCTTGAGGAGAAGAGAGAGAGGATAAAGAGGACTTTGTCTTGCAAATTGGCTACCAGTCCAGCCACAGTAGAATAGGGTGCCAGGAAGGGTGCTCTATTTCAGGACCTAGCTCCCAAAAGACTTATCTAGGCACCTTCCGGGCCAGAATGGAACCTGCTACCTTGAAGGGAAGAAACCAGTCCTGGCAGGATTCATCACTTGCTGTCCAAAGAGCCCTTGGGCCTTGAATAAACATCAGTGGTATATGGGCAGTACTCAATGGGCTTTGGGTGAGAACTAGGGCTAGCTGTGCTGGCTTCAGGTGTGACCCAGCACATTCCCAGCTGTGGTGAGACACTCCTTCTGCTTTAGGAAAGGAGAGGATGAAGTAAAGCGAACATTGTCCTGCAGCTTGGCTACCAGAATGGCTACAGTGAAGTAGAACACCAAGCAGGTTCCTGGGGTCCCCAATTCTAGGCCTTGGCTTCTGTGTGGCATCTGTGGATCTACCCTGGAGGGAGAAACCCAGTACCATTAGTAGCATTCATCACAAGCTGACTAAAGAGCCCTTGGGGCTTGAATGAACATTGGTGGTAGTCAAGCAGTGCCTGCCATGGGCCTGAGGAAGTAGGGGCCAGAGGGAGAGAATTCTTATGTGTAAGGAAAGGAGAGGGAAGAATGGGAAAGAGGCTCACGGGTGCCAGCTCAGCCACAGTAGAATAGAGAACCAAGTAGAGTCCTCAGGTTCCCAACTCCAGGCCCTGGCTCTGAGATGGTATTTCTAGACCTGCCTTGAGTTGGGGTAGAGGAAGCTCATCACCCTGAATGGAAGGACATAAGCCTGGCTGGATTCACTATCTGCTAACTAAAGAGTCTTGGGCCTTGGATGAACATTGGCAGTAGTCAGGCAGTGGTCACCACAGGCCTTGGGCAAAACCCAGTGCTGTGCTGGCTTTGGGACCGACTCAGCACAGTCCCAGTGGTGGTGGCCACAAGGGTGCTTGTGTCACCATTTGCCCAGCACAAGGCAGCTCAGCACAGAGAGAGGGAATGTGTTGTTTGGAGGAAAGTAAGAGAAGAGAACACAAGTCCCTGCCTGGTAATCCAGGGAATTCTCCTAGATCTTACCCAAGAACACAAAGTTGGTACCCCCTAAGTCTGTAAGAGTCACAGCATTACTGGGCTCAGGGTGCCTCTTAATGCAGATACAGCTGCAGTGACCAAAGAGTTAGATCAAAATATTCAATTCCCTTTAAATACTTAGAAAGGCTTCCCAAGAAGGATGGGTACAAACAAGCCCAGGCTGTGAAGACTACAACAAACAACTGACTCTTCAGTGCCCAGATAAATGATGCACATCCATAAGCATCATGGACCATCCAGGAAAATGTGACCTTACCAAATGAGCTAAATAAGACACCAAGGACCAATCCTGGAGTGACACAGATATGTGACCTTTCAGACTGAGAATTCAAAATAGCTATATTAAGGGAACTCAAAGGAATTCAAAATAACAGTGAAAGAATTCTAAATCTTATCAGATAAATTTAACAGATTGAAATTTTTTAATCAAGCAGAAATTCTGGAGCTGAAAAATTCAGTTGACATATTGAAGAATGCATCAGTCTCAAAAGCAGAATTGATCAAGCAGAAGAATTAGTGAGCTTGAAGACAGACTATTTGAAAATACAGTTAGAAGAGACAAAAAAGAATTTTAAAAAATGAGGCACACCTACGAGATCTATAAAATAGCCTCAAAAGGGCAAATCTAAGAGTTACTGGCCTTAAGGGAAAGTGGAGAAAGAAAGACAGGTGCAGAAAATTTAGAGGATCATAAAAATGAACAAGTAAATGTCAATAAATTAGAAAACCTAGAAGAAATGTATAAATTCCTAGATACATACAACATAAAAAGATGAGCCATGAAGAAATTCAAAACCTGAATAGTCTAGTAACAAGTAATAAGATCTAAACTTTAATAGTCTCCCAGCAAAGAAAAGGCTAAAACCTAATGGCTTCACTGCTGGATTTTATCAAACATTTAAAGAACTAATACCCATTCCTACTCAAACTATTCCATACAATAGAGGAGGAGGGAACACTCCCAAACTTATTCTACAAGATCATTTTTACCCTAATGCAAAAGCCAAAAAAAGAAAAAAAATACTTCAAAAAAAAGAAAACTACAGGCCAGCTTCCCTAATGAACATTGTTGCAAAATTTTTCAAAATACGAGCAAATTGAATTCAACAACACTTTTAAAAGTTCATTCATCATGACCAAGTGGGATTTATCCTTTGGATACAAGGATGGTCAAACCTATGCAAAAAAAAAAAAAAAAAAATCAATGTGACACATTATATCAATAGAATGAAGAAAAAAACATATGATCATTTCAACTGATGCTGAAAAAGCATTTGATAAAATTCAACTTTCCTTCAAAATAAAAACCCTCAAAAAACTGAAGGTAAGAGGAACATACCTCAGCACAATAAAAGCCATAAACAATAGACCCACATCTAGTATCATACTGACTGGGGAAAAACTGCAAGTCTTTCCTCTAAAATCTAGAGCAAGACAAGGATACCTACTTTCACCACTGTTATTCAACATAGTACTAGAAGTCCTAGCTAGAGCAATCAGACAAGAGAAAGAAATAAAGGGCATCCAAACTGGAAAGGAAGAAGTAAATTATCCTTGTTTGGAGATAGTATCTTATATTTGGAAAATGTAATGACTCCACCAAAAAACTATTAGAATTGATAAATTCAGTAAAGTTGCAGGATACATAAATCAACATACAACATAAAAAAATTGGTAATATTATTTCTATATGCCAATGGTGAACAATCTGAAAAAGATATTAAGAAAATAATCCCATTTATAACAGCTACAAGTAAAATAAGATATGTAGGCATAAACCTAACCTAAAAAGTGAAAGATTTCTACAGTGAAAATGATGAAACACTGATACAAGAAATTGAAAAGGACACAAGAAAGGAACAATATTCCACGTTCAGGGATTGCAAGAAACAATATTTTTTAAAATGTTCATACTACCCAAAGCAATCTGTAGATTCAATGCAATTTCAATCAAGGTACCAAATGACATTCTGTGCTGAAATAGAAAAAATAATCCTAAAATCTAAGTGGAACCACAAAAGACCCAGAGTAGCCAAAGCCATTCTGAGATTTCAAAACTGAAAGAATCGCATTACCTGACTTTAAATTATACTAGAGCTATCTATAGTAACCAAAACAACATAGTACTGGCAATAAAAACCAAACACATAGACCAATAGAACAGAAGAAAGAACGCAGAGATAAATCCATATATCTTCAGTGAACTCATTTTTCAAAGATGCCAAGAACATACATCAGGGAAAGGCAGTATCTTCAATAAATTGTACTGGAAAAACTGGATATCCATATGCAGAAGAATGAAAGTAGACTGTAATCTCTCATCATATGCAAAAATCTACCCAAAATGGACTGGACACTTAAATGGATTGGACACTTAAATTGGACACCTCAAACTATAAGATTGCTGAAAGAAAAAAATTGGGGAAACAATCCAGGATATTGTTCTGGGCAAAAATTTCTTGATTAATACCCTAAGGGCACAGGCAACCAAAGCAAGAATGGACAAATGGGATCACATCAAGTTAAAAAGCTTCTGCAGAGCAAAGGAAACAAAGTGAAGAGACAACTAAAAATAGGGGTAAATATTTGTAAACTATATCAGATAAGGGATTAATAATCACAATATATAGACAGCTCAAATTCAACAGTAAAAAAATCTAAATCCAATTTTAAATAGGCAAAAGACCCAAATAAACATTTCTCAAAAGAAAACATACAAAGGGCAAACAGGCATATGAAAAGGTGTCCCCACATCGTTGATCAGATAAATGCAAATCAAAACTACAGTAAGATATCATCTCACTCCAGTTAAAATGGCTTTTATCCAAATGCCAGGCTATAATGAAAGCTGACAAAAAAGTGGAAAAAAGGGAATCCTCATATACTGTTGGTGGGAATGCAAACTACTATAGCCACTATGAAGCTTCCTCAAAGAACTAAAACTAGAACTACCATGTGATCCCATTGCTTAGTACATACTCGAAATAAAATTGGTATATCAGTGAGATATCTGCACTCCCATGTTTACTGCAACACTATTCACAATAACCAAGATTTGGAAGCAACCTAAGTGTCCATCATTAAATGAATGGATAAAGAAAAAGTGGTACATATACAAAACTGAATACTATTTAGCCATTAAAAAAGAATAAGATTCTGTCAATTTTTTTTTTTTTTTTTTTTTTTTTGAGATGGAGTCTTGTTCTGTCACCCAGGCTGGAGTGCAGTGGCGCAATCTCGGCTCACTGCAAGCTCCGCCTCCCGGGTTCACGCCATTCTCCTGCCTCAGCCTCCCGAGCAGCTGGGACTACAGGTGCCCGCCACCACGCCCGGCTAATTTTTTATATTTTTAGTAGAGCCGGGGTTTCACCGTGTTAGCCAGGATGGTCTCGATCTCCTGACCTCGTGATCCACCCGCCTCGGCCTCCCAAAGTGCTGGGATTACAGGCATGAGCCACCACACCCGGCCAAGATTCTGTCATTTGCAACAACATGGATGGAACTGGACAGTATGTTAAGTGAAATAAGGCGGGCATAGAAGGACAAATTTCACATGTTCTCATTCATTTGTGAGAGCTAAAAATTAAAACGATTCAACTCATGGAGATAGAGAGTAGAATGATCATTACCAGAGGCTAAGAAAGGTAGTGGAGGGTGGGAGAGGGAAGGGAAGTGGGGATGGTTAATGAGTACAAAAATGCAAGTAGATAGAATGAATAAGATCTAATATTTGATATGACAATAGGCTATGGTTAACAATAATTTACTGTACATTTTTAAATAATTAAAAGTATAATTGGAATGTTTGTAACTCAAATAAATGGTAAATTCTTGAGGTGATAGATGCCCCATTTACCCTGATGTGATTATCACACATTGTGTGCCTGTATCAAAATATCTCATGTACCCCATATATACACCTATGTACCCACAAGAATAAAAGTTAAAGAAAATAACTACATGAATTTACTTTGAAAAATATAAATTGTTATGTAAATGTTAATACAAAAAAAGTGATTTAAACAAAGAATCTTGTCTCTTCTGCATAAAATGTAGGGAACATAGGGCTTGTATGGTGGCTTGCCATCAGGTACCAGAAGACATCCAGGTTTCTGCTGCTTATCTCTATGGTATAGTTCTTATCTTCATAGTACAAGCTAGTGATTCAGGCTCATCAATGTTGCAAGCAGCAGAATCAAGGAAAAGGGAGGAAGAAGGGTAAGAGACATGTACCAGCTATCATCTAAGAAATTTCTTCAAAGCTGTCACAGAACAATTCTATACATGGCTACACCTAGCTATAAGGGATGCTTCAGTCTTCATTCTGAGTGTCTGTGTGTCTGACCAACAATTGGAGGCTCTGTCAACACAAAGACAATTGTTTGTTGACAGACAACTAGCATTTCTGCCACTGTTACAATTAAAATTGTTTTAGGCCAAGGCACAGTGGCTCACAACTGTAATCCCAGCACTTTGAGAGAGTGTATTAGTCCATTTTCACGCTGCTATAAAGAACTACCTCAGACCCAGTAATTTATGAAGAAAGGAGGTTTAATTTACTCATAGTTCCACATGGCTGGGGAGGCCTCAGGAAACTTACAATCATGGTAGAAAGAGAAGGGGAAGCAAGGCACATCTTACATGGTGTCAGGAGAGAGAGAGTGAGGGGGGAAAACCATTAGATCTCATAAGAACACTGTCAGAAAAACAGTAGAGGGGAAATCTGCCCCCATGAGCCAATCACCTCCCTCCACATGTGAGGATTACAATTCGACATGAGATTTAGGTGGGGACACAGAGCCAAACCATATCAGAGGCCAAGGCAGGAATATGGATTGAGGCTACTTTGAGACCAGCCTGGGCAACACAGTGAAACTCCATCTCTATACAAAATAGTTTAACTAGAAAGCTTGTGATAAGATCCTGAGAGGAGTCTAATGGTCATGCAATGCATACCTTACACAAAAGCTCTGAGCCAGGAAGGGCAGAGGAGACTGAAATCCAGCCAGCACTTTTCCAATCAATGTGTTATCCTGTCCAGGGGTCGTATTCTAGCACAAGGCCTTGTCTGTCATGCTTTCTTGGACAGAGACCCACAAAGACAGCAAGCCATGTGCCCATCAGGCTGTATCCACTTTCAGAAGTTACCTTTTTCTAATTCATCTACCCAGAGAGGTTCTCTTTTCCTAATTCAAAAAAAAAGTATTGCCTTGACAAACTCTACTATCTAAAGAATAACCTGGATCCACAGCAAGTTACCATTCCATTTTATTGGTAAGCATCACCATAAAACCACAGAAAAGTAACATTCTTTTCTTAAAAATGTTGTGTGTAAAACTTGGTAAAAAAAAAAAAATGGTTTAGCTACAGAAAATACACTGTCTACACACAGTAACAAAACATGAAGAGGGAATTCAAGAGTTTTATATCCTTGGTTTTACTTATTGAGAATTAAATACTGAGTAAGTAAAACACAGTGATTAAAGACCAATGGAGTCTAGGGCTAGAACCCCTGAGTTTGCATTCCAGTTGTAATTTCTAGCTGTATAACTTTGAGCAAGCTAAATTCTAGATGCTTCGGTTTCATCAATGGTAAAAGAAATCCCTCCAATTTTCAGAGATTAAATATATCCACTTATGGAACTTAGAACAATAGGCAGTCAGTAAGTGTTAAGTGCCACTTAAACACACAATTGAACATTAACAAAACTTGAATAATCAAATTTTTCAAAAAGGTGCCATTTTTAAGAGAAGAAATGAAAGAGTGAACAAAAGATATAAATTTTGCCTTCCAAAGCTGCTTGCATAAAGACAACAAAAATAAAAAGCTTCAGAATGCTCTTTAACTATTTTGGTTACTTGCAGATATTTAGGGCATTAGCTTGAAATGCCATGGCTTTCCAGCATCAAGTTCCCTTGAATTTCATTTTTATACCAACTAAAGAACTAGAAAACCACAAATCCAGAGAAAATATTTCTCAAAAGGCCCAAAAGAAACTTAAAACCACAGCTTAATATCCACCAAAATAAAAAGTATGTAAGTGCTTGCATCTAATATTCCATTTTTAGTGCCCTATTCTATATAAAAGATATGCAAAGAGGCACAAAGATATATATAAATCAGTAATTATAGTATTTTCCTTTGAAATTTTTCAAATATAAAAATGGATAGAATAGGGTAACGAACACTCATGTATTTACCTCTCAGCTATTATCAACTAATGGCCAGTTTCTGGTTTAGTGCCACCTATTTGCTCTCTACATCAAGAAATATTTTAGAGCAAACCACAGACATATTTTGGTCACAATATTATTTCAATAGGTTTAATTAAAGAATTGGCATACAACCTGCAATGTATGTTTAAAGTATACAACTTGGCAACTTTTAACATAGGTCTGTCTACACTCCTGAAATAATCACTACAATGAAGATAATGAATGTATCCATCACCTCCAAAAGAATCCTCCTCTTAACACTCCTTCCTCCCCAACCAACCAATCTACTTTCTATCACTTTAGATTAATTTGCATTTTCAGAGTTTTACATAAACGGCATCCTGTTATATATACTCTATTTTACAACATTCAGCATAATTAGAGATTCATCCATGTTGTCGTGTAGATCAATGCTTCATTCCTTTTTACACAGTAGTATTCTATTATCCACATGTATCACAATTTCTTAAGAGACAGGGAGTTGCTCTGTCACCCAGGCCCAAGAGCAGTGCCACAACTATGGCTCACTGCATCCCAGACCTCCTGGGCTGAAGAGATCCTCCCACTTCAGCCTCCTGAGTAGCTAGTACTGATAACAAAAAACTCAAAGACAGCTCAAAAACTCACTAGTCAGGCAACTAATTACACTGGACCCACCTGACCACTCTCTAACTGGGTATGCTGGCTTCTTCCATTCGTTGGTCCTCTAATATCTATCTTCCTCCTTCTCTTATTCAGGCCTTGAGTCTTCCAGTTAATCTCTCAGTTCCTACAAAACTGCATCCAGGCTATCACTAATCACTCTATAGGATAAATGCTGCTTTTGACAACCCCACAATATCACCCCTTACCCCAAAATCTTACTTTAGTCTAATCTCTCCCACTTTAGGTTCCTGTGCCGGCCCTAATCCTGCTCGAAGCAGCCCTGAGAAACGTCACCCATCAACCCTCCATACCACCCCCAAAATTTTCACCCCAAGTTTTCACTACTCTTTCTCGTTTTATTTCTTCATTATTAATATAAAAAGACAGGAATGTAAGATCCTCTGAGCTGGCCACACCATGGTCAAACCATCATATTCCCCCGCCCTTGTGATAATGTAATTTGTGATATTCCCTGTCCTTGTGAATGTACTTTATAACATTCCTCCCTGCCCTGGTGACAATGCACCCTCCCTGTCCTTGTGAATGTACTTTGTAACATCCTCCCCACCCTTGTGACAATACACCCTCCCCACTGTTGAGAATGTACTTTGTAACATCCATCCCCTGCCCGCAAAAAAAATTGCTCCTGACTCCACAATCTATCCCAAACCTATAAGTACCAGTGATAATCCCACCACCCTTCGCTGACACCTTTGTCGGACTCAGCCCACTTGTACCCCAAGTAAATAAACAGCCTTGTTGCTCATACTAAGCCTGCTCAGGTGGTCTCTTATATAGACATACCTAACAAGGACTGGTGTATACCACCACACCCAGCTATTAAATCTTTTATAGAGATGAGGGTCTTGCTATGTTGCCTAGGCTGGTCTTGAACTCCTCCTCAGCCTCCCAAAGTGTGGGAATTATAGTTGTAAACCACTGTACCCAGCCCCACAATTTCTTTATCTACTCACCTATTGATAGACACTTAAGTCACTTCCAAGTTTTGGCTATTACAAATTAAGCTGCTGTGAACACATATCTAAAACCTTTTATAGATTCATGCTTTCATTACTCTTGGGGAAATATCCAGATATGGAATGGTTGGGTCATAAGGTAGGCATATGTTTGCTCAAAAATTCCAAGATGGTTTTTCCAAAGTAGCTGTACCTTTTATATTCATATCAGTAATACAGAAAAGTTTCAGTTACTCTAACATCTCTCACAAATACTTGGTATTATGAGGTTTTTTCTTTAATAACATCCTAATAGGTACGTGGTGGCAACTCAATATGGTTTGACTTTGTATTTTCCTAGTTATATATGTTGAACATCTTTTCCTGTGCTTAACTCTCATGCATTTGCATTTTTTGCTGAAATGCCTGTTTGAATCTTTTACCCATTTTTAATTGGGTAGTTTGTTTAAGTTTTGAGAGTTTTTTATATATTCAGGATATTCCTTTATTAGATGTGTAATTTGTTATTTTATTTCAATCTATAAATTGGTTTTTCATTCTTTCAAACAGCAGCTGTTCTTAATTTTGATGAAATCTAATTTATCAAAGCTCTCTTTTATGGATCGTGCTTTGGGTGTTATATCTAAATATTTCCCTAACCTTGAGGTCACAAAGACGTTTATAATTTCTTCTAAATATTTTACTGTTTTAGGTTTTCTCTAGTCTATAATATAAAGTTAACTTTTGTATTTGCTATAGACTTTTGCATATGAATATATATTTTGCATATGAATATTATTGCTGAAAATTGACCACAAGTGTGTGGGTTTGTGGCTGGACTCTCTTCTGTTCCATTGATCTATTTCTCATTCTTGAGATCAATACCACACTGAAGTTAGATGGTAGAAGTCTTCAAACTTTGTTCTTTTTCAAAATCATCTTGCCTACTCTAGGTTCTTTATATTCCATCTGAATTTTTAAATTAACTTCTTTAGAGTGCCTGCTGATATTTTTATTAGGACAGCATTGAATCTGTTGATCAACTGGAAAAAATATACACCTTAAAAATACTGAGTTATTCAACCCATGAACATCTCTCTCCATTTTAGGCCTTCTTTAATTTCACTGAGCTATGTTTTATACTTTACAGTGTACAAGTCTTACAGATATTGTGTCAAATTTATGCCCAAGAATTTCAGTTTTGAAACTGTTAGTAGTACTGTTTTGTAAAATCAGTTTTTCTATTCTTTATTTCTAATATATAAAGACACAATTTTTTAAGCTCATCTTATGTTCTACAGACATGGCTAAACTCCCTGATTAGTTCTAGAAGCTTTGACTCCATAAGACTTTCTGCTTAGACAATCATGTCAGCTGGAAAAAAAGACAACTTTACCTATTTCCAAACTGAATTCCTTTTATTTCCCTTGTATTATTGCACTAGTTAGAACCTCCAGTACAATAAGATGAGAGTGAACGTCTTTGTCTTATTCCTGATGTTAGAGAGAAGGCATTTAGTCCTTCACCATTAAATATTATGATTGCTGTACGTTTTCATGGATAGCAGTAAATTTTTTTATCTCAAATATGGTAGTTTTCATCTCTACGAGTTTTATTTTGGTCTTTTATATCTCCCATGTCTCTACTTAACATTCAATATTTCCTTTTGCTTTTTGAACATGTGGAACACTGTCATACCTCTTTTAATGTCTCTACCTACTAATTCTATCATTTTTGTTATTTGTAATTCAGTTTCATTAGACTGATTTTATTCTTAATGGTGAGTTGTATTTTCTCTGCCTGCCTAGGATCTTTTGATTGGATGCCAGACATGAATTCTACCTTAATTGATACTAGATATTTTTCTCATCCTATAAGTATTCTTAAAAATTGCTCTTAACATGGTTGCATTACGTGGGAAGAGTCTGATCCTTTTAGGTCTTATTTGTAAGTCTTGTTTGTGAGGACAAGACCTGCATTTAATCTGGGGTTAATATTTTCCCACTACTGAGACAAGATTCTTCTTAGATTTCTATCTGATGCCTCCTTAAATATCATTTTCCACTCTACCTGTTGGAAACAGGCACTTTTGCCATCCAATATAAACCCTAGACACTATTTCCCCGAATTACTTTTCAGTGGTTCTCTCCCTGTCTCAGTAGGTCTCCTCCCAAGTGTGCACTGATCCCTACTCAATGGAAACCTCTGAGCGTCTCAGGCATCTACGCTTTCCTCTCCTGTCTCTTATATTCTGCCCTGTGAACTCCAGCCACATTGGTTTCTCCAGGTTTGGGAACATAATCTTGGAGACAGCCAGCCTTCCCTGGCTTCCCCATTCCTGCACTGAGACCTGAAAGTTTTTCTCAAACTGTAAGGTTCTGGCAATCATAGTGCTCACCTCTTTTTTTCCCATCCCTCAGGGATCACTGTCCTTTGTTGCCTGGAGTCCAATGTCTTGAATGCCATTATTTACTATATTTTGTCTGGGTTCTTTTTAGTTGTTACAGGTGGGTAGGTGAACACATTCCCCCATTACTTTTCCTTGATGAGGAACAGAAGAACAGAACAATGTTTTTTATAGCAACACTGAAGGCAACATAGATATTTTTCATTAGTGACATAGATGACTTATGGTAAGGAAATGATTTATCTGCTAAGTGAGTTTATTTCTAAACACAGCCTATTATCAATGTTCTCCAGTGAAAGACTACCAGGAACACACCTATAGTTGAACGGGTTGTGTTATTTCTTGTTGAAACAAGGAAGATAGATGGGAAACCACAGGGCATCTCAATAAGAGGGTGTTAGAAAAGATTTTAGGACTTGGGCTTGTGGAAAATTCAAAGGAGCTGGCTCCACCCCAGACTGGATGCTACCATGAAGTAGAGGTAAGTTCCATGCTTGACCAGTGTAAAAAATCCTATCTAGGAAGATGACAGAGTAGAGAAAAGCTAAAGCTATAATTAGGAAACAAACAGTAGTCACTCATTTTCCAGGATAGGGGAGTGTCTGATCTTTTTGTGGCATTGGGAATATGTTTTGTTTGCATTCAATGGTTTCATTTTTGTCTCGATCCATCATAGTCAGAATGGCCTTGTCCAATGTTGATATTCCATGAAATTGTTTATGTTAAAAAGCAGAATATTAAAGCTAGCTGCAAGTTTCAAGCTAGTTCTAGATGTCTTGGGCTACTTTCCTGTTTCTCACTAGTAAGAGAACTATAGACTCACCACTCTTGCTAAAGGAAAGACTGAACTATGTAATTAGAGGATTAATGGATTCACTTTCAGGACTAGAGTCTACACCTCCACAGACCCAGGAGTGCTGCTACTCACAGATAAAGCCTACCAGAATCGTTTGGAAGCTAAAAGTAATGAAGCATCAACATTGACTCCCATGTAAGAGAGTTACTCCTAAAGAGAAGGTTTGGTTTGCTGGATAAAAGAGCTTAAAGAACATTTTATATATGGGTCCAGAATGAACCTGACGAGGGAGAGCAGACTAGGACTGGAATGAGCATGCATGAATGGCATTTTCCTAGTGAAGGTCAAAGAACTGCAGTATTCTCTTTGTGTGGCTCTAGGGAAATCTAGACTTTGCTAGTGTTTCAGCCTCTCAACCTACAATATTCTTACAAGAATGCCCAATTCTTGAGTTAAAAAATGTAGCTACATGCTTTTCAGTCCAGAGACACACAGAGTTGGTATAGTGAGGACTAGCAACAGGACAAGGCAGTCAAGAAAGATACAATATGTGACACCATTTTTCTCTGGGATTCAGTGAAGGTGGAGGAAGGGATAGAAAAGCAATATTAACACCTCAAGTAGAATTCCTGGAGCCTCTTATTGATGGACAATGGAATAGACAGTAAAATAAGTAAAATCCACCTTCCTAGTTGCCTCAGAGGTAAAGAAAGGCAACTTTGAACGAAAAGCAACACCCAGATTTCTCACAAGGTGATACATTCCCATGTTCGTGTGCATCTATTTAACATAGTCCAAGCCATCACCATCTTGTGGCTGGATTACTGCAGTCTGCTCCTGACTATTCTGATTCTACTTGTCTCGCCCAAATTTATTTCCCAGATAGAAAAAGATCATGCTGATTCAGCTAAGATAAATCAGATTATGTCTCACACACTCAAAAAAGGAAGAAAAAAAAAATCTCTACCAATGGCTTTCCCAGCATCCTTAGAGAAAACACTACAAAGTTCTTTCCACGGCCTATGTGACCCAGCTCCTGGATGTTTTCCTGGCCTCTTTCCCCATCACTCTTCATTTGCTTGGTGTCTTTCAATTGCAGAATGCAGAGCATTGGGGGGTGGGAAGAACAGGCAGAAAACTACTGGGGTGCTGGCCAACATGCAATGCCATAGCATAGAACTGTCAGTAAACTACAGGTAGTAAAGATAAGTAGGTTTAATGTCACTTGTTTTTCAGTGTGTTTTGTGTTTTCATCCTAGGGTTGCTGTAACAAAGTATCATCAGTTGTGTGGCTTAAAACAAAAATGTATTGTCTCACAATTCTGAAAGCCAGAAATCAAAAATCAAGGTGTCATTAAAGTCATGCTTCCTCTGAAACCCTGGATAGACTCTTCCTTACCTCTTCCTAACTCTGGGTGGTTACTGGAAATCCCTGGTACCCCTTATCTTACAGATGCAGCATCTCAATCTCTGCCCCTGTCATAACACAGCCTTCTCTCCTTGTGTCCTCTAAGGAAACTGAGGAGCCACCGCACTCCAGTATGACATCACCTTACCTGACAGTATCTACAACAATCCTATTCTCAAATAAAGTCACATTCTGAGGTTCTTGGGGTTAGGATTGCAACATTTATTTTTTTGAGGGGGACACAGTTCAACCAGTAACAGTTGGGTTGGGCACAGGTGGGCTGTGTATGTTAGGAAATAAAATGCACATAGTACTGTGTGCCACAATCAGAGCAGCTTGACAAACTCTGCTTGGCTTAATCTACTTCAGTAACTCCAGCCTTCTTGCTTTTCCCAGAACAAAACAAGTTTGCTCACTCCCAATGCAGAGTCTTTTTGCTCCCTCAACCTACAGGGCCTCCCCTGCAGCCCTGTGGCTCCCTCCCGCCATTTATCTAGATCTCTGCTCATGTGTCACCTCACCAAGAGAACTTTCCCGTCTACCCTTTTTAGGTAGCACCTTCTAATCGCTGTTATTGGACTCAGCCCTACTTTTCTTCAGAATCTATGGCACTCTAACATTTTATAAACATATTTACTTTTCCTTCCACTAAAACATAAGCATCATGTGGGCAGTAACTGTTTCCCCAGTCTTCCAAACAATAGCCATTCAAATCCCTGTTGTTGAATGAGTCTATATTGATTGTGGAAATAAAGACTCATCAAATGAGAGAGGCTAAAGCTATTGATTCTGAGGCTGCTATAGAAAAGGCCTTAGTCTGTGTTTGGCACAAACTCAAAAGTAAAAGCAGAGGAGTAGGAAAGCTCTATAGTTGAAGAAGGGAAGGGTTCAGCTATGCCCTGATTGGAGGCTGTTGGCATGGGGAAGCTGTACGCAGGCCAACTAGACTTACAGAATCACATGCAATTGTTTAATTTTGCACAATTGGCTTTCTCTGGTTTAGTCCTCAGTTGGAAACAGGGAAATAGAAATTAAGGAAGATGTCAATTATCAATCAAATCCGAGCTGTCCTGGGCTGATTGTTACAGAGAACTTTGTTTGGCTTTCCAGACCAGTTTCTAGAGTTATCGTCTGACTTTCTGTAAGTCTGACATAGAAAGCAGGTTGGCTTCCTGGCTGGTTAATGTAAATAACAGGTTGGTTTCCTGAGCTTGTTGGTGGAGATTATAGGTCAGTGTTCTATTTTTATATATGGTCTGGCCATTGTCCATTGTATATTCAGTTTCTCACTATAAAAAAAGTTATTAAATGCATAGCAAAAGAAATAGAAGATACTGTTAACTGGGTGGGCTGTACCGGGGTGGGGTAGGAGATAAAAAAGGACTCAGTTTTATTTTGTATACACACTTGTGGTCTACATTTTTGCAATAAGCATGTATTATTTTTAACTTAGGAAAAAATAAACAGTATAATCAAGCAAAGGCAATTGCAAGACATACCACCTCATCTGATGTTTACAAAATCTACTTGATGAAACCCTTGGCTTGGTTGTTAAGCCTCCTGTTATTTTGTTTTTCATTTTTTGCTTTTCTGAAAACAAGATAAACATTGTAAAAATATGCTAAATCCTATCTTGGAAGTTTCAGTTCATGTATTCCGAGTGAATTTCTGGTTCACTCGTATTTTCAACTGAAACCGTAAAACCAACTCTTCCATTGACATTTATTCAATGAGTATGTATTGAGTGGCTAATATGTTCCAGACATTTTCTTCCCTAAAAGGAAAATGTCATCATTAAAAGAATGTAGTGAATTTAAATTGAACTAAAGTTTGATTTGAAAGTCTGCTTCCCTAGAGACATAGCCCCGTCTTGTGGAGCTTTAGAATATTTTTGGTGATGATCATATTTACGTTGCGTTTTCACAACCACAAATGTCATGTGGGTTAACTCTCAATTGATCACAAAATTCCAGTAACCAAAATATTTCATTCCTCAGGCATTCAGCTATGGGAACCTTTATTTATTCTAGTTCTTAGCAAGGAAAATAATGTGTAAGTCTTTTCTTAATGTTGTCTAAACACATTTGTTTCCAATGTTACTGTCAAAGAACATACCTTGCACATAGCCTCTTATGGGAGTTAATATAGTTATATTTGCAGCTGTGTATCAGATACAAGTGTACATGGACCATATGTCTGTACCCCTATTGCCCAGTTGAGGACCTCACATATAGATGTTCAATGTTTTAAAAGAATGGCAGAAGCCCCAAGGCATAACATAGATCAGGAAAAAAACTTCATTTAATTCAGTTATAACATATTTATGTATAGTAGTCAAGGGTATAGTGCTTTTTAAAAATATATAAGCTCTTGATTTAGAAGAAAAAAGTATACACAATGATTTGAGCCAGAAATATAATATTCAGAGAAGTGCTACAGAATATAAGTTCTCCCACAGTTCAGAAGGATGAGAAATTATTTCCTGCTGGGATGATTAAGAAAGGCCTCACATTTGAGAGTCACTGGGGAATATGACCTAAAACTACTTGTAATGGAATATACTGCATATCAAGGCCTCATTATAACAGGTAGATATTCTGTTTGTAAAAATCATTGCCTTCACATAAATGTATCAAATGTTCTACTAAAAAAAGTCTAACTCAAGGTACACCTTGGCTACCTGTTAGAATTAGCTTTGCTATAATAAAGGACATGAAAATAAGACCCTCACATTGATATAAAATCCAAGTTCTTAATTAACACAGAGCAGGCATCTAGTACATGATGCTGAAGAATGAATGAAGTTTTACTTACCCACAGCAGACCTCCCTGCAAGTTCCTATGCATCTGTGGGACTCACCTCCTCTCACCAAATAAGGGTTGTCAGAAGTATCAAATTAAAACAATTGAACCCATGGAGATAGAGAGTAGAATGATGATTATTCAGAGGCTGGGAGGGGTAGTGGGTACAAAAAATAGTTAGCATGAGATCTAGTATTTGATAATACAGAGTGACTAGAGTCAATAACTGTACATTTTAAAATAACTAAGAGGGTATAATTGGACTGTTTGTAATACAAAGGATAAATGCTTGAGGTGATGGATGCCCTATTGACCATGATGGGATTATATGTTACATGCCTGTATCAAAATATCTCATGTATCCTATAAAACATATCTACTATGTACCCACAATTTTTTTTTAAATACCAAACATCTTTTGCTTCTGTGTCTATACCTCAATTCATAGCTCTATCTTTTGATGGCTTGCGTGGGCATTTTTTAAAAACATAACAGTGATAAAAATATTTATGTAATTATTTTATACTATCCTTACATACATTGAAGGAAGAATTATTTATCCCACTTTATAAGTGAAGAAACAAAGGCCAGAGGCTGAGTTATTCAAGATCAGGTAGCTAGGAAGTTTCATTCGGGATTTAAACCCATATTCATTGTTGTTTGCACAGACCAAAGCTCACTCAGGCTACTTGATTTTCACAAAACTGCCCATTAATTGCCAATTCTGCCATTTATAAGCATAGATTAATTCGTTCTGTGATCTTAGAGAAGTCACTTCAACCCACTGTGCCTCAGTGTACTCAACTGTAATAAAGAAGAAAATTATACCCCTCTGCCCTACTTGCCAATTTGATTTAAGAGCACAATCAGACGCAGGAGGCATAAGCATATTGTTTAAAACATGGACTCTGGAGTTAGCTGCTTGAGTGTGTATACCACATGAGCAGCTTATTAATGGTCCATGAACAGGTTGTTTAACTTCTCTAAACCTCCATTGTATCGTCTGCAACATGAAAATAAAGGTTATTCCCTCCTAGGATTGTTCTGAGGATTAAATGAAACTGTTTATATAAAGTCCTTAGCAGGGGACATGGAACACGGTACTTATGTCAGCTATAGTTATTAACATACACACCTAAAAGCACCAGAAAAATAAGACTTTATGCAATTATGGGGTTGTTATTGTCTATTCTAAGCCAAGTTGATGGGTCCCACCTGGCCCTACCCCAAGTTGACTTTTCCCCCCATTTATGTTTTACTAAATCATTCTAAAAATATTAAATGTTTTTGGCTACTAAGGGCTGAAGTACAGGACAACAGATGAACTCCCAAGAAACCTCTATCTTCAGAATTCCTGCAAAAATACGACATAGTCAAAGCGTTAAATTTTGATGAAGGGGCTATTTACCAAGGCTTAGGCAGGGTTCAGGGAATCCCTAGTGACAGTGAAGCACCAGGACTTGGGCGGGTTGAGAGGTTTTATTCCTACTCAGCCTGAACAAAGATATAGAGAGTAATGTTCCCAGACCTGAAGAAAGCTGGGGCCACCCAACAAGATGGTAGCCACTGATGACAGCAGGTGGCCTACAGTCAATAAATACCCCGCCTCTCATCTCTTCCTTATGCCTCCCACTGGCCAAACACCACTGGAAATCAGAGGCCAGAAAGCCCAGAGATTTAGTCATAGATGGTAAACCTCTGTGAGCCAGTTTAAGATAGAGAAAGGAGAATCTACTGGTGTGGGAAATGGAGAATGCCCAGCACATAGTCTTAAATTAGAACTAAACAAAAATATAATCAGCGAAGTATAATTTCCTTCAGTATACTGGCTAATCATAGCCCTATCGTTTAAAACAAGACAGCCTGAATTCAACTCCTGGCCCTAGTACTTACTAGCTGGGTGTCCTCATGCTGGGGCTACTTTCCTCACCCGTAAAATCGATATAATAGTAATATTTATCCTCCAGGGTTGTAGTCAGAGGTAACAAGTTAGTATTTGTATAATAGTATAGGGTAGAGCACTTAGCAATGTATAAAGTTTATTATTGTATTATCCTTTGTCCTAGGGTAAGATTATAAATGCTTGTGGAGCTAAGTCATACACAAGTGAATTCTTCAAATAATAGGAAAAGGGCATGACTATACTTGTTACGTGTCACGTATACAAGCAAAACATACTGACTCAAATTGTACTGTGGCAGGGGGTGGACTGAACAGGCGGAAATACAACCCTAATGTCAATTCATCATCGCAGCTCACACTGGAGAAGTACATTTTGTGGTTTCCTGAACTTCAACCAGGCAAGCACAGACTGAAGAGAATAGAGTCAGTACACTCAAAGATTCTCCCTACAGAAGTGTCTTCTTATGAGGCCCACCAAATGCATGAAGGTATGTAGATTGACACATGTTAATATACCTTCCTTTTGAAGCACCAAACGTGACATTTCCCAAATGGGCTTCAGTGTGCTGTTTTCCTTTTCTTCAGACCAAAATTGCTTTATTACAAGTTTTGCAGATGGTATCAAGGTTCCCGTCAACAAGGCCAGATGGAATCTGAAGCTAGTAAACAACAGCAGAGAAGCAGGGTCCCTAAAACCGAGCCCAGTGCTGTCATCATCTGCCGTCCCAGACTGCAGACAGTTGAGGCCTCGGCAGCCATCCAATCGCAGGACATCCTCAATCCAAAGATGTAAGCACATGTTGGCCAGGGGAGGTGGGGACGGGGTTGGGGGGTGGGGGAAGAGCCCAGTGGAAGGAGAATTTTTTTTTTTTAAGTAGGAGAGATAACAGAATAATTGGAGAAAAAGGAATTGCAAATGAACTCCTTAGAGAAGCAACAAGAGGATCAAAGCAGCAAAGTATTCAACAGAAACACCAGGGGAACTTCAAAAGTACCAAGTTTAAATCACACCAAAGTTTTTTAGAACATAAAAGCACTCAATTCTATTTTCTCAAGCATGTTTACCTCAGATTCCTAAATACATCTCATCCCTTCACAACAAATGATCCCTTCCTCATGTACAGCTACGAAGCACATAAGCACCATATTCACCAACTCCTCCCTCCTGGATGACTGTCATTTTACCAAGAAAAACTCCATTTTGATTAAACTTCACTGTATAACCCTGAGCTGATGTAGTTTTGGGTGTTTGCTTTGTTTTCCCGTCATCAAATCACTGCTGCCCAGAGGAAGGTCATGGATGTCTAAGGCTTGTGTTTACTTTGATTCAGATAATAAATATCTCCAACTTAGAGGACTCTTAAAATTTCAGAAGTTTTACAATCATCATCCCATTGAATTCTCAAATCCTCTGTAAATAGGCTGATTTGTATTGTTTCCATCTTGCCCTCAAGAAATCCAAGGCTTAGTTTAAGTTTATGAAATGCTTAGAAAAATCATTATAGCTGTTTGCAGTTTAGAAAAAAAAAACTGTTAAGAGAAAATGTGTAGAAAATTTAAGCCAGATACTACAAAGGGGAGGAAGTTCTCCAGCTGTCCAAGGGTGAAATTGACTACAAGAATATATACAGCATTGAAATTTAGTTGTTCAGTGAGACTATCATTTCAACAAAATAACCTGTCAACCGGAGCCTACCATGAATTCGTTTAACACTGAGGGTCGGCGTAAGCACTTGTTAACAAAACAGGGAGAGGCTCAGATGGAAATGTTTCCTTGCCCAAGAGGTGACTGAACAGAGCAGAGATGAAAGCAGAGTCCATGTCTGCTGAGAATAGAAATCTCAAAATTCTCTAGGGTGGAGTTAAAAGAAGGGCCCATGCTTAATGTGAGTTTCTGTGGTTCCCTCAGAGTCCAAAAGGGCTGCAAACTTTCCCAGCCTTGGTCATTAAAAAGTGAAAGAGGACTGAGAGAAAGGAGATGGCCTCGGAGGACAACTCAGCATTGTACAGGGCAATGGGCCTCCCACCTAAGAAGGTGAATGGGCTTGTGAATGCCTCCCGGTTGTCCCTTTTCTGAGACGGGTGGGTCTTTCAAGTACCCAAGCACTAAGTTAGGGATGGTCAGTTGGAAGTTGGCAAGACACTCAGCAGCTAGAGTGCTGAGGGCAGCTCAGGAGACAGATGGAGAGCAGGGTGGGGAAAGGCAGTAGGAGGGGACAGCTCCAGCACTACCATTTTAGGAACACACGTGCCTTGCTGTGGGTGAAGTGGTCACCACCGAAGTGGCTTAAGCTGTTTGGCCAACACTCCCCAAGAGGACCACCTACTGGCAACTGTCTCTGTAATTTGTGGGGCACAGTACAAAACAGGAAAATGAGGGGTCCTGGTCAAGGGTGAGAAGTCAGTCTTCCCTTTCCATGGTTTCACCACCCCAGCCTATAGTGGAAAGGCAAGTCCCAAAGCACTGCAAACTTCCTGCCAGGATGCACTTGGCACCTTGATTGGGGGTGGGCAAGAGGCCTCTGCTGAGTTACCCACCAAAAGGACTGTGGCCCTGTCAGCCCAGGGCAGTGACAAGTGCCTCCTTGTTCTGCCTCAGGACACAACTGGACATGCCCCCAACCCAAGCATCCCCACACCCATGTTCCTGTCTCCATACAGCATTTCTACTACTCTCTCCCCACCCCCAGTCACACCCCAGGCAGAAAGCAACAACAGTTTCACGGCAAGGACAGAGATGGGGAGGCCTGGGGGACCAGGACATGAAGGAGAGGGAAAAGGCAACCAAGAACCTGTGTGGGGGAGGAAAGGGGCAGCAGGATGTGGGTTTGTTCAGGGGCCAAGGCTCTGAGCCCCTTGTTCATGTTCCATTTACCCATCAGACTTTAGTTCCGCAACAAAAATTCAAAGATAAAACAAAGAAGTTCAACATGGCACCTTCCAAGAATTAAATACCAAATGTGGAGCCCTCCTGAGTACAGGCTCTATACAACTACCCTGGTCACATGTCCAGGGAGCAGAACTTCTTGCTGGGCAAGAGGAACCCAGCAGCAACAGGCCGCAAGGTAGATTGTCCATGCTGGGGACTGGGAGTCAGGGAGGAAGGAGTAAGCTCCACTCAGAAATTTCTGAGAAACTTTATACAAGGAAGATGCCTTGAGGGCCCTCAAGGAGCAAAGGATATCCCCGAGAATGCCACTATGTGGCTGCTTGTCCTTCCAAGGGGATTGATAGATGGACAACTAGCAGAGATGAAGCCACAGGCAACAAGTGGGAGAAGTCAATTTGCTACCTCCAATCTGAAACTGATCACATTATGAAACAGTCATTCCAGACACCACATGGAGGACAGCTAGTTCTCCACCTGAGCTTGTACAAGATTGTTCCTTCCTTTTGGCACCTCAACACCCTGACAAGAGGCAACAGCATAGGGAATGGAGATTGTGAAAGTGTAACCTACACCCCAGACACACTCCTGGTTTCCAAACAGAAATGCAATCCTTGCTGGGTTTGTAGGGAAGTAGGAAAAAAGTAGGAAGCCCTGAAATGAAATATGGCTGAGGTTATAAAGACAACATGAAAAGTTAAGAACTGAAAATAAGACTATATTTCTAAAGTGACTGAAAAATTAAGAAATCAACACCAAATGTCATTAAAGGAGTCAGCTTCCCAGCAGGAACGAAATTCTGATACAATCCAGTAATGGAAAAATAACGTCATGCATGTTTATATCTGACAAGTCAAAACTGCTCAATCAAAATGGTTACACTCAGTGTAATCTCAGTGATTGCTCCAAAAAAAAGGAAGATATTTTGCCCTTATTTCTGAGAGTTTTAAAAAGCAGTTTCCCTGCATATAAATTACTGTTCTCCTCCTTGAGGCTTCAGGACATGCACCCATCATTCCCAGCCAAAATATAGATGACCTGTGTCTCATAAAATATGAATACTTAGGCAATTTGCAAATGACTTCCTGTTACCAATTTTTGCAACAACTTTAGAAGTTTCCTAATTATTTGTTTAAATTAATTCTAAGGCAAACTGTGCCCTCATTCAGAATATGATTTAATTAGATGCTCTTATACCAGGCTTAGTGAGAAATGTATATTACAAGTAGACTAACTTTCAGGTAGATTGGTTCCTGGAGGAATATCTGTGTAAATTACATCAAGGTTATGCCTTGGCAAGAGCATACTATTATGCCTGCTTGACCAATCAGTTCTGTGCAATAAACTGTGAATCCACTTAATATACTGAATGTACCAGTTGTCATGATAAATTGACTGGATAAAGAGTAGTTTCTATATCATGTAAACAAAGTGGAAAGCCATACCTTATACTTTGGTTTTGGAGAAAATACAAATTCTTGAGCCTGGTCTGAAACCTATTTGGTCTTTCTCAAAGCTATTCTTGCATTACAATTACAACCAGATCGCTCTTTTGGATGCATGTAACCAGGGGTTAGCAAAGTACAGACTACAGGTTAAATCCTGCCCCCTGCATTGTTTTTGTAAATACCTATTCATTGAAACAGTCACATCCATTTATCACATATTGTCTACAGCTACTTTTGCACTTTGACGGCAGGGTTGAGTAGTTGCAGAGACCATCTGGCCCTCAACTCCTAAGATGGTAACTACTGATCTTTTACAGAAAAAAGTTGGCTTCACTGGTAGCAGTCCAGGTCCATATCTCCCTCCCATTGCCTCTACAACAGAGGAATGGTTATTTCTGAAATCCTTTTGTTCTATCCTTCAGCTTCATTTTACAATGTCTGATCCTCTGCCATAAATCAAGAGATGCATCACTTTAGAGTAATGAAAATAATAGTCATTGCTTTATAATTGTACTAAAATTGTCCATATGCTTGCTGTTCTAGTTTCTACTAACTGGGATTTTACAAAGTCACCTTCCATCTTTCAGCCTCAGTTCCCAAATAAAGAATTTGGACTAGACAATGTCTAAAATTCCTCTTAGCTTCAATATGATGAAATGACTATGCTACAAAGAGAATGTTTTCATTTTAAGAAAATGTAGTTTAACCACCAAGGGTCATAGGAATTTTTCTGGAAGCCCACTTTTATAACAGACATTATTGGCTGCTTACATAGTATTCATCCCATCCAATCTCCTTCCTAACCAAGTTCTGCCCCATGTCAGCCCCTCCTTCCCTTGGCCCTATGCTTTGAGAGAAACTAACCCAGGAATAGTCCAGGGACTAGACCTGACTTTGTAAGTCAGTCATAGTAAGTACCTTACCCCTTGCCAGTTTTCTGTTTTGGACATGTCACAAATTCCAGCCAATGAGATGTATGAGAAAGTTGGCTGTGGTAGGGGAAGGAAGGGCGCACTTCAAGGAAAAACTTTTAATTGAGAAAAGAGACAAAATCTGTACTTTTTCTAGCAATTACCTAAATATATTGCTGGAACTCCCGCTGCTATTTTGTTACAAGTCTGAGGATAAAGTCACCCCAAGAGAAGGGCAGAGGAGCAGAGCAGGCTCAGAAGTACATCTGAAGCCCATTTTACCTCTGGGTTTGTTTTTTTTTTTCATTATTAGACAAAATAAATTCTGTTACTGTTTAGGCCAATTTTATTACTGCTAACTACTGGCAAAAATCCAACTAATATCCTAGTGGAATATGGAGCCAGGTTAAATGCTGCTTTCGTGGGGCTAAAGACAACTAGAATTATGAGAAATTACTTTCAAAGATAATAGTAACTAAATAGCAACACTGTTTTCCTAAAATAAACTTATCTCCCATTATTACATGGCTACCAATATCTAGTGGATACCAAGTGTCTAGCTTGGGTCATTTCAGTCAAAAGCAATTTGCAAGCATTCTTATAATATGCTATGGTCTGAATGTGTTTCCCCCAAAACTTGTATTTTGAAACCTGATCACCAGTATGATACTGTTAAGAGTTTGGCTTCTGGGAGGTGATTAGGTCACTCTTGATTCATGAATCCTCATGAATAGGATTAGTGCCTTTATTAAAGAGGCCCCTGAGAGCTGCCTTGCCCCGTCCACCATGGCAGGACAGCTAGAAGACAACATCTATGAACCAGAAAGCAGGCCCTCAGACGTGGAATCTGCCAGCACTTTGACCTTGGACTTCAGTCTCTAGAGCTGTGAGAAATAAATTTCTGTTTAAGCCACCTAGCTTATGGTATTTAGTATAGCAACTTAAATGGACTTAGGCAAAATAACAAAAATAGCTTCAAGAACATTATTTTTGTCAGTAGTTATTTTAATATGATGACCATATGTAACATACTTCTTAAGTTTTGAATAAAAGGTAATCCCTACATTTTCTTATACTTAGGTCCTCAGTACTGAGAATCCTTCATCTGATGACATTTCTAAGACTCCAAGCAAGAGAAAGAAGAAAAGATTATCAACATATGGCTAAGAAACAGTAGTGCCCAAGTGGTCAAACTCAATGTTAAACATCTCAGAACCAAGGACTCCCACTGTCTTGGGGGGAAGTGTAAGAGGAATCCCTGTCCAATCCCTTCTTCAGCTAGAACAGGTTGTTCCATTTTCTCTATCTAGGTGCTTCCCATTAAAGGAGCTCACTTCTTCCCAAAGCAAAACACACCACAGCTAAAATAACTTTAGAATGTTTTTAAATATCTAACAAATTCCAAATGGAGGACATTTCCATCAACACTCCTCCCATACCCCTCAATTGCCCAAGGACAATTCACCATTTTAATTACAACTGGGCAGAGGTAGAGTTGAGAAAGATACTACCACATTCAAAGCACACACATAATATGTACCACTTCACTGAATAAGCTCAAATTCCCAAACCATTTTACTGAAAAGCCCACTTCACAGAAAGTAATCATAAATCAACTTTTTATCCTTCTCTGTTCCTTAAAACATACCCAGTGGGACCACTTATTCTCCTGCACTAAAGACAAAAGTTGACTCCGTGAAGTCTCTGGTTATTCTTGTCATAAAGAGTCCAACTGTCATTTTAAGTCATAAAAGACAGTTTTGATTTGGTAACGGAAGTCTTCAGTGCCATATTATAATCCAAACTTGGTCTTGATATCAAGTTGAAACTTCTTACCCCCTTTATGTCTGCTGCAAATGGAAAGCAGAGTGGGAGAAGGGTATGGTTTCCCAGCCTAGGTTTCCATGTCCTACCCCTCAGCTCCACAACTACAACTTGTAGTTTCTAATTCCCCCAGAGTTAGAGGGGAAGGAGGGAAGGAAAGGGAGCGGGAAAGTCCCGGCATGACTGATGCTGTCATGAGCTGGTGTCAGCACTGTTCAATGCCAGCTGGCAGGACACATGTTAGATCTACAAGTGGTTTCCTTAGAATTGAGGGTTGGGGGGAGGGGATGGGGTGGAATGGTCTCCTTTGACTTGAGAAAACAGAGGAAGCACAACTTGTACCTCCACATAGATTTTATTTTGACTTATTCTCCCCATGAGGTCACATCAACAGCTCTCTGACATTATCCTTTGAAAGTCATTCCCAAATATCTAATCCCTGCCCTTTTATTATACCCTCTGTGAGCAGTGTTGTTGATAGTCATGATTTCTTTGCCTCACACCCATTAGGTTGGCTATCATCAAAAAAAAAAAAAACAAAAAACAAAACAGAAAACAAAAAGTGTTGCTGAGCACAGAGAAATTGAAACCCTTTGTGCATTTGGGTACAGATGTAAAGTAACGTAGCCATTTTGGAAGACAATATGGAGGTTCCTCAAAAAATTAAAGATGGATGATCCAGCAATTCCACTCCTAGATATATACTCAAAAGAAGTGAAAGCACAAGCTCAAACAGATATTTACACTTCCATGTTTAATAGCAGCATTATTCACAGCTACCAGAAGGTAGAAGCCACCCAAGCATCCATTGACAGAAGAATGAACAAGATGTGGGGTATATGTACACAATGGATTATTCAGTCTTAAAAAGGAAAAAAGTTCTGAACATGCTACAGCATGGATGGACCTTGAAAATATTTTGCTAAATCAGCCAGACACCAAAGGGCAAATACTGTACAATTCCACTTATGTGAGGTACTTAGAGTAGTCAAATTCCCAAAGGCCAAAAATAGAATGGCAGTTGCCAGGAGCTGGCAGGAGGAGGGGAATGAGGAATTAGTGTTTAATGGGCACAGAGTCTCAGTTTGGGAAGGTGAAAAAGTTCTGACAATGGATTGTGGTGATGGTTGCACAATAATGCAAATGTACTTGATACTACTATACTTAATACTACTGAATTGTATGCTTAAAATTGTTAAGATAGTAAATTGTTATGTTATTTTACAATTAAAAATAAGAAATTAAAAGTCCTGCTACCATCTTTGAAAATATCATTTCTATCATAGTCACAGCTAAAACCTCCATGTTAACATCCTACCATATATTCAACCACAGGTATATTCTGTCTTCAGAAATATTAAGATATGAAAACATGATTTGTCTTACAATCAGCAATATTCAATATTTTCAGGAAAATAAGCCACAACTCTAGAAAAGTTACTAAAGCTTAGTGGCCAGTTTACTCCTGAGATTATTACCTCATAATTGTTTTAGCAGAGTATAAGACACTTTTCCTTGAATGCATTTTCCAAGCTCCAATTCTCACCAGGCTGATTTATAAAATTAACTTGTCTCTCTGGAGCCACTTCTGAATTAAAATTAATGTTGCAAGTCTTTTAGACCCATACCCAATCACTCGTACACACAAAAGAGAGGAGTTTTATGCTATAGAAATATTCCATACTTAGAATTTAAAAATAGCATTACCACAAATTTTCCAATTACAGAAAACTCACCATGAGAAAAAAAAGAATAATTGGATGCTTATCCTGAAACAATCTTTTGGGCTGGTTTAAGAAAAAAAAAAAAAGTCATCGAGTTTCATTATTTTCACCCTTGTCTCAAAATATAATAGGAGGTGCCGATTCAACATAAGAAAATCCTCAAGAGGAAAATGGTAAGTCATTCATATTATGACAAGGAAAGATTTACAGTTGTAATAGACAAAGCATAAATTTAGCAAGCGAAAGGTTAAAACAGTATTATGAAGTCTGGTTAGCATTAAACCCTGAGCTCTACTACAAAGGTGTTGAAATTGACTATAGAGATCCAAAAATGGGTTAGCCACAACAGGAAAAATACTAGTTTTGCATCATACCTAAAGCAGGCAAACACTAATCAGTATACATTACCAAGCTGTGCATAGTCTGCAGTCCTCTGCACAAAGAGAGTGTAATGGGAAATTAAGAATCCCTCTACTGCAGCTTAGTGGTTATGGAAGCCAAGTTCATTTTGTGAAACCCACTCAGTTCAAATTTCAGCTCTGCCCCTTATTAGTTCTAAAACCTTTAATGAAATTCTTAATCCTTATGTCTCTTTGTCTACAAAGTGGAAATTAAAATAGCAATTAATATAGAAGATGGGAAATTTCAAGGAAATTAGGTAGCTAAAATACTAAGCATATTAGCACTTTCCAGTTAATGTTATTTTTTAATGTAACAGAAAAATAAGCTTTTCTTCAATAACAGAAGTTTTGGGAGAAATTTAAAAGTAACTTATATAGGTATTTTTACTCAGATTTCATTTTTCTTGCCTATATAAATCCCAGAGCAATCTCAAGTTAATTAACAGGTTGCTAGTGAATCTACAGCTGTGGTTCTTAAACTTGGGTTGCATCAGAATCACCAGGAGAGACTGTTAAAACACAGATTGCTGGGCCTCACCCCCAGAGTTTCTGTTTTAGTAGGTCTGGAGTATGCCTGAGGATTTGTATCTCAAAAAAGTTCCCAGGAGACCCTGATGCTACCAGTCTGGTAGCCACATTTGACGAACCACTGATTTACGATACTTGACCTGCCCCCACCTTATGACCACAATCTTCCTTTTCAGAGCTTTACTCCTAACATTCTTCCTAATCCAAGAACTAGCCATGCATGCCTCATTCCAAAGCCTAGCTGTCACTCTGTTCTGATGGCTGACTGACAACATGTTGTCTCCAACAGTACTAGCTAATGAAAGGCCAACAACCTTAGACTCCACCTTAACTGGGCCCTGATCCCGGGGAAGCCAGAGCCCATGGGTCCATTTGGAAGTGGTCACACTAAGTCCTATGCCTGTTGTGCAGGTGCCCTCAAATGTAAACAGCCTTCACATGCCTGGGAACTGACTAAGGGAGCAAACCCTTTCTGCCTTCTTTCTGCCTAGGTCTCTGGTACCTTATTCCAACCTAGAGGGTCTCCAATATCTGGGGACCTGCAGTGAAGTCATCTAGTAGATTAACAGAACCTGATTTTCTAGCATTCCTATCCAAGTTGCTCTAGGTGTTTTTATTTACAACGAGATCACAATAGCATATTTTACATGCAGATTAATAAAACTTTATTAAATGATATGTGGTTAGAGATATAATCTTAAGAATAATCTTGAAAACTAACTTCCCCCACATATACAACATAGGATAGACATGACTCCTCATGATCTGGGTACAGACATTCCTTACAGAAATTCCCTGACCCCAAAATAGATACTAGATTGCTTTTCCATCTACCATGGCTTTGATAAAAACGTTGACTTCTCCTTAAATACATTTCCTAACTTATGAGAAATCAGAGTAGCAGCTTACTACAACATTTTGCCAATTCCAACTTCTGCATGACTACAATAAAATTTAGGTACAAGCAGCATTTTAGTTGCCTAGCACAAGCAGATTTTCTGTAGAAAATCTTCTTATTGGAAATTCCCAATTTCCGTCATTGCCTGCTTTACAAAACCTTCCCACCAACAACATTAGATGTACTGAGGAACCGGATTTGACATCCCCAAGACTAGAATAGAATTCAGTTTCAGGTGTCTCTATGGTGCCTGACCCAGAATTATCTGATTAATCATCTCACACTGAGAGCCTCTTAGCCCAATACATTTGGCCCTATAACCCACTTTTTGCTCAGATTGAGCCTCTAAGCCTTTTGACATTGAAATTTGTCTGAATTTGTCTTGAGTTTGCCACCCACTGCTGGATTGTACATCGAGTCAGTAGGCTTCCAGCACTCTTGTCAGTGTCCTCTCAGCTGCACACTGATAGAAACTTGGACCCCTCTCTTCAGTAAGAGCCCCACTAACTATAATGGCAATGCTGGGTTGATGTAAACATTCATGTAAAACTGATGCTACACAAATCCCTTCCAGCAATCAGTTTCATAAAACAGCATCCAGAGCTTATCCCTACCCTGACTCTACCAGCACTGAAAGTTTTCAAATTATAGTTGAATTACCATTTCCAAAGGATTACATCAATAAGCTAACACACACACACACACACACACACTCTCTCTCTCTCTGCTTCTCTCCAATTGCCCTTTCATCCATGCCATAGAATTTCAGACCTCCAGTTTATTTTCAGAGCAGCCAGTCAACAGATCCTGTCTAAAGTCAATAGAAATACAAGCATACTATTTAAAATCACAATAATAACCAACAAAGAACAAAACAAAAACCTATTCAAAGTGTTCACTTCTAGAAAATTCGATTTTAGAAATGAAAAGTGTGAATGGCTCAGAAGAAATGCTTTGCTTTATATTTTATACCTGTCTGTACTATGCACGTTCCTTGATCTATGCATATGATTCCTATAACTGTAAGAAGCAAGTAAAAAATGAGTAAACAACATCCTCATCAATAAGATTAGCTAAACAAAGCATATGCATACAGTGGAACATTATGTAGATACAAAAAAAAGCACAATATTTAGTGATATAAAAAGATAACCTTAGAATGCCAGTTTTTTTAAGTTGCAAAGGAGTATAGTCTGATTCAACTGAAGAGAAATTACACACATGCACACATACCACAGACCTGTATAAACAGAGATATCATGGAAATATACCAAACTGTTGGGACTTGGAGAAATGGGGAGAGAGGGTCTTTCACTTTTTATTTTCTATGCTTTTGTAATTTATGAGCTTTATACAGTGAGCATACAGTGTCTTTGCAGTTTAAGATTCTTTAAAATACACACACACACACACACACAGAGGTGTGCTTCAGACCCAGAAAATATGAAGCAAAGAGCTTACATCATATTTGTAAATTCTTAGAACCTTGATAGAGAAAGAATTTTAAGAGGCCCAGAAAGAATCGATGCCTTTCGCAGAGTCACACTGCTGGAAAGTGTCAGAACCAGGTTTAGATCACAGGCATACTGCAGGAGGAGGCAGAAAACGCTTTCAGAACTTCAAGTTCTAACAAATAAATCAATCATTGTGCCTTCTCCCTACTTCACTTAATACTTTAATATAAATAGGTAGGAGCAAGGTAAATATTCTGTCCATTTTACAGATGAGTAAACGAATGTCCAAAAGGACAGATTCCCCTGAAGCCATGTAGCTATCCAGCAGCAGAACCAACTGTAACTAAGACCAGCACACTCCTGGTCAAAGCTTATTCAACTACAGTACAAAATTAAAGCACTTCAAAAACAGGACATTATCCTACGCTAGCTTTATCTTTTCCTCAAAAAAGTTAATGAACCTTGAAGGAGAGATTCTACACAAGGCATTGGGAATTAGAAAAAGAAGAGTTATTTATAGGTTATAAGGCAAGAAGAGGAAAAGAATGCTTATTAAGCCTTGATTTGCTCACAAGTCTCATTATAACAGCTCTGTATCACTAACCATGTCAAAGACAGCAATTTGTCATCCAAAGAAGTCTGATTAAATAATAAGACTAAGGCCCCATTACACACAGAGGCCACCAGGTTACTTTACAAGCAGCCTTCAAAGACAGTTTGACCTCACAAGGTCTCAAGGAAAAGAGAAGTGGTTCCTACAGCTTAGCAAAGTCATTTAGTGGCTATTTCTATCAATCAGGCCTTCCTCCAAAGGCAAGAGGACAAGTAAATTTATCATTTTCCTGCCTCTCATGTTAAAGTAGAGAAACATGACACCTTGGCAAGGTGCTGATTGCCATTTTCTCATGTGAAGTAGCAGAGAACAGCTGGGAAACCAGCAAACTCTCAGAGCTGTTACTCTAATCAGGGGAGAAAATTTTCACAGAGAAGTTCCCCACACCCCATTCTTTTATTTTACTTTAAGTTCTGGGATACATCTGCAGAACGTGCAGGTTTGTTACATAGGTATACATGTGCCATTGTAGTTTGCTGCACCTATCAACCCATCATCTAGGCTTTAAGCCCCGCATGTTTTAGACATTTGTCCTAATGCTCTCCCTCCCTTTGCCCCTCACCCTGCCATGAGGCCCCAGTGTGTGATGTTCCCCTCCCTATGTCCATGTGTTCTCATTGTTCAACTCCTACTTATGAGAACACGCGGTGTTTGGTTTTCTGTCCCTGTGTTAGTTTGCTGAGAATGATGGCTTCCAGGTTCATCATGTCCCTGCAAAGACATGAACTCATTCTTTTTATGGCTGCATAGTATCCCATGGTATATATGTGCCACATATTCTTTATCCAGTCTGTCATTGATGGGCATGTGAATTGGTTCCAAGTCTTTGCTATTGTGAATAATGCAGCAGTAAACATACAGGTGCATGTATCTTTATCACAGAATGATTTATAATCCTTTGGGTATATACCCAGTAATGCGATTGCTGGGTTAAATGGTATTTCTGGTTCTAATCCTTGAGGAATCACCACTCTGTCTTCCACAATGGTTGAACTAGTTTACACTCTCATCAACAGTGTAAAAGTGTTCCTATTTCTCCACACCCTCGCCAGCATCAGTTGTTTCCTGACTCTTACAATAATCGTTATTCTAACTCCTGTGACATGGTACCTCATCGTGGTTTTGACTTGCATTTCTCTAATGACTGGTGATGATGAGCTTTTTTTCCATGTTTCTTGGCCACATAAATGTCTTCTTTTGAGAAGTGAACACAGAAGTTTTCTATATACTTTTTCACTCTCAATATGGACATAAATGGCCAGGTGTAGTGGCTCATGCCTGTAATCCCAGCACTTTGGGAGGCTGAGGCAGGCAGATCACCTGAGGTCAAGAGTTCAAGACCAGCCTGACCAACATGGTGAAACCCCATCTCTACTAAAAGAAAAATACAAAATTAGCCGAGTATCGTGGCTGGCACCTGTAATCCCAGCTACTCAGGAGGCAGAGGTTGCTGTGAGCCGAGGTAGCGCCATTGCACTCCAGCCTGGGCTACTAGATTGAAACTCCATCTCAAAAAAATATAAAAAATAAAATAAATAAATAAATAAATAAATATATATATATATATATATATACACACACACACACACATAAGTTTGTGTGTTATTTTTTAATTAAGACTGTTTTTTACAGCAGTTTTAGGTTCACAGCAAGATTGAGCAGAAGATACAGAGAGTTCCAACATACTCCTTCCCTAATCCCCCATACACACAGCCTCCTCCACCAACATCTCCCACAGCGGTATATTTGGTACAAGAGGTAAACCAACATTTAATGCATAATCAACAAAACCTATAGTTTACCTCAAGGTTCAGTCTTTGTGTTGTATATTCTATGGGTTTTGATAAATGTATAATGACAAGTATTCACAATTATAGTATCATACAAAATAGTTTCACTGCCCTAAAAATCTTCTGTGCTCTACCTATTTATCCCTTTCCCCCAGCCAATTCCTGAAAACCACAGAAGATTATGTTTTTATACTGTAAATCCTAATGGGAGAACTTCTTATAACCTGCCAGTACTCAGCATGACCATAATTTTGAACCAGAAGCCAGGCTGCCAAACAGTATTTATGGGAATCAATAGACAAAAATTCAGGGCTGTTCCAGAAACTCCAGGACATGTGACTATCACACTGCTAGCAACATGAGCAGGTGAGGAGGGACACCAGAAAGCAAGGCAAAGGCAGGGCTGGAAACAGCAAGGGTGCCCTTGGTCACCATCATATGGGTGGAGTGTCTTTTCTCCTTGAACTCATAGCCATGTGGAAATTCATGACTCATCTTGCTTTGAGCTTCTCAAAGAAGGTTTCGTCTCCACCTGCCACCCCTACAAGTCTCCAGCAAGCCTGGGACACCATCACCCTCCCCTCCCCCACACACACACATGCACACGCACACTCTATAGGGCCCATTTGTTCATGCTCAGGGCCATAGAACTTCAGAGTTGAAACTCAAGGCCAATGAGTTCAATAGAAATGTAATGCAAGCCACACATAAGCTTTACATTGTCTAGAGGCTGCATTTAAAAAAGTAGGTAAAATGTTTAAACATTTTAGCTCGATATATCCAAAATGCTATTATTTCAGCATTGCATTTATTTAAGTTATTCGTAAACTCTTTATACATTTGTCAAACTAAGTCTTTGAAACTCTGCACAGTTTAGATTGACAGCACGTCTCATTTCAGACTAGCCACTTCTCAAGTGCTAAATAGCCCCATGGGCCTAGTGGCCAAAGTTTTGGAC
Organism: Homo sapiens; assembly: GCF_000001405.40. Classification (NCBI taxonomy): domain Eukaryota; kingdom Metazoa; phylum Chordata; class Mammalia; order Primates; family Hominidae; genus Homo; species Homo sapiens. Next base: position 54,038,809 of record NC_000018.10, read on the forward strand.
AGCATAGCTTGAGAACTCATCCACATCAGAAGATTTTAGATTGTTAAAGAACAGAAGCCTACAAAGTCTATGCAGGACATCAACATATAAAAGATAAAAGAAGGATGGCTTTAGTTGGAGTGGAAGTCTGGGACCCCTTCCCGCATGGATCCCTTAACTGTCACAATGGCCTCTCTCTGAAGCTGCCTGGCTCCAAGAACAAAGTTTGACATTCTCCCTACTCTCATTCAATGCCATACATTAAACAGGAGGGAGCCAAGAACTACAGAGGTGAAGCAGTTTTCCTCCCTGGGACAAAACTGAAACTGCAGACCTCCTGGCTCTCAGCTCATGTATATCTAGTCCGAGAAGGGAGCAAGCCCATCATAAACAGGCAGGTTACAAAAAGACACTGTTCTCATCAACCCCTAGCTGGAACCAGCTCCACTGCCAATTTCATGGACAAGATCATTAACAGTGAGGTGTTTTCTCAGTTTTTGGAGGAAAAGAATAGAGGGGGTAGAATAGAGTGAAAAGAACATATTGGTGGCCATTCATGTAAAATGCTCAACTTTCTAACAGTATAAAAGAGGTCAAAGAGTATCATTTATTAAGCACCAACTATATTTGGTAGACAGGCAGTGTGGTTGAAGGTCATTGTTCCCTTCTTATGACACTGCTCCTCACAAGAGTGAATGACACAAGCTGATGGGTCCAGATTTCGAGTGGGACCCTCACTGAGCAGGAAAGGTCCCAGGCAGCAGGCTCTCACCCATTTCATGCTCCCTCCACACTAGGGGACTGTTAGGCTGAACAAGGACCTCCTTGCAGGTCGGCCCTCCTGTGTGCTTTCATTTCTTCCTCTCACTTTAGATTGGTGGAGTGTAGTGATGAGATTGACAATAACTGGAGAAGGAATGGCAGTATAAAGAGATGCCAATATGATCCTTGAATCCAAATGAAAAGCTATAACACAACTGAAGGAGTAAGTGCCTTGTGTTAGAGGTTTGGGAATCCATTTGTGATTAAATGACCCAACCATTCACTCATATTTACCTAGTATCTATAAAAGTAGTGATAATAATCCCTGCCCTCATGGAATTTACTATTCTTTGTACATTTACTCTATTTAGGGATTCATTGAGAGAGAATTATAGGTGAAACAGCGCAAACAGATTCCCAAATTTCTAGCCACAATTCCATCATAATACCATGAAAGCTCCACCATACAATTCTTCAGTACTAAACATTAATTAGTCACTCTATAAGCATTATGTAGTTAAGTCTAATAATAACTCTGAAGCAAGGATTAATATCCCGCATCTTATGGATGGAGAAAGCAAGGCATGAGGAAACCAAATAATTTGACCAAGTCCTAGCAGCTAACAAATGGTGGAAATGGACTCAACTTTGTCTATGACCCTGATACTCCTGTGACTTCCATTTAACCACACCTTTGTGTCTAGAACATTAATGATCTTTATTAAAAAAAAAAAAAAACTCTTCCAAATTTGAGCATTTTGCTTGCTTCCAAAATAAAGTGCTGTTCCCGTGGAGAAAATTAAACTAAATAAATAGAAAATAAGCTACTTTCTTGATCCAGATGTATCACTATATCCCCTATGTCTGATTATTAATCCACATCATTTTTTGTATTATTTATGTACTCCATAGTCACTGGACTTTCTCTTTTGTCAAAAAGGGGGCTGGTTTCCCTGGAGTGAATGCAGCCTCTTCACGCCATGTCACCAATGGCCACGAAGCAAGCCTATAACTTGTAATAGACCTGTTAATAGCAACCTAAGGAAGGAGAAAAATCAGAAATTCTAGTGGGGGGCGGGGGGAAGGAACTCATAAAATTAAGATTTGTTAAGGAACTACTCTGCACAAGGCCTATATCTATGCTGTCTCATTTAGTTGGTTTATAGTGACATTCTTGAAGCTTTATTGAAAATAACAGGGATCTAGAGGGTTGAAGAGCCGTGAGAAGTGCCAGCTGCAGTTCAAGTAAGACCCATGTTGAAAAATAATGTAAAAACTCAGCCTGAAAGGCTTAGACAGGAGAGCTCAGGTCTTCCTGACTCAGGGTTAAAGAAGATCAGAAATCTGTAAGTGAGCCCTAAGGAGCCCATTAGATGGATTGAGGGAGTAATTTCAGCTAAAATGTTAATGACTGAAAATGGCATAGGGGAATGCACTTACAGGAGAGGTCCCAGGAGAGAGAAAGACATATTCAGTTGATGATGAGTAAGTTCTTCCCATTCCCAGCAGCTATACCAGTTGCTCAGAATCCTCTATAGAACTTATTCCAACCCCAAACTTTGAGACCTCCTTTTTATGAACATATCCAATTAACTCCGATCTTCTTACCTGGCATTCAGACAAATCTGCTTGTCACCTGCCCATTCAGTCTATTTCCACTTTGCTTTGACTTGTTGTGCTGATATTTTCCATTTCTAAATCTCTAAGTTCTTTTAGCTAACATCTAAAAGTTCCACTCTTAAAATTACTTTCAGTCATTTTTTCCTTCCCAAGCAGGTTCTTGGGAGCCCCTTGAGGCTAAGGGCAATGTGTTGAACTTTTCTTAGTTATTTACCACAGCATCCAGCAGAGTGTAGGACTTGTGGTTCCATAGATGCTCATAGTTATATGCTGATGGAGACTGATAATTATTAATGGGGAGGAAAGAGGTACTCTAAAATGTTTCTCTAGGGGACCCAGAATTAGGACTTATAACATTGGATGTAATGTAACATCAATTGTCATGTTTTTAATCCCTGGAATTAAGTTCAATATTATCTTAGACAATTTAGATTTACATCCTAGCTTACTCTAAGAATCATTTTGTCTATTATTTTATGTTTTGTTTCTTGTCAGTATTGCCAGAAACTATTAACATTTTAAGATGCTTGGAAAATACAATTTAACAAAAACCATCCTTGGGAGGACACAGCCCTCGCATGATCTCCTTTTTAACAAGGACAGATTCTAACAGTTTTTTGTTTCCATTCTGCTTAGCTGTAAGGTGATAATACTCATCCCTTGTATCACAGAGGACTAATGACCTATTCAACTGAACACTAGCTTCTTACAACATATTAACCAAATGCATGTCTTGACCTTTTGTAGTTTCTCTCCACGGTATCATATTTTCTTTGGGCTTGCATTAGAGCATTCTACTTTAAATGGAAAGCCAGCTTCAAGCTTCACCATCTTCCAGGCTTGATGCAATATGAGGTTGCAAGTTTGCTACTAAAGTTAGGAGCTCATCTCTCCCCAGAGAAATTGCCCAAAACCCTATACTATAGGAAGTCCTACTATGAGACTTCCTAAAGTACACACTATCTCGAATTGTCTTTGGCCCCCTCCCCTCAGACACTATCCTAGGCAAGTCCTTGAATTGGGTAGTGCAGTAGGGGTTGGGGGGAGCACCGAGGGAGCCTGTTTATATTGTTTTCCTTAGCACATAATATGTAAACAAAAGGCAAGCTAGAAGGACAAATTCTGGATTTGCTAATCATATAATGATAATAGAACAAAACTAATTAAAAACATCACTCATAATAAAGGCCAACATCTCTTGTATACTCAACATGAGCCAGGTTCCATGCTAGATCTGTGTAAGTAATAAGATTTGGAGGAGTCTCGGCTTACTGGGGCTTTTGGAGGGCATGGAGACTATTTTTTTCTGTTAATAATTGTCCCCATTATGCTTTATGGGATTCTGTCATCCTTACAGGATGGAGTAAAGAATCTTACCAAGATTTCTGACCCCTTAACTTCCTTAACAGTGATCAGTCTCATACTGATTCTCAGAGACCCATCCCTTTTCATTTTAAACTTGTAGACTCACTTTAAAACCAAAGTTCTCTTTTCTACAGAGTAGACTTTGAGGTTCAAGCAGCTGAGCATGGGGGCCCTGGCCCGTTCGCACCCACTTGCTCTTCTATGCTTTGCCCTACAAGTTGGGGTGAAGGGAGGAAGAAAATGGGTAGGTTTCCCCCTGTAATGTCCCCACAGCATGGTGGGGTCCTCCTGCTTCTCTGGGGGTTGCCTCTGTGTTATAGACATCCCATGCCAGCTCTTTTAGGGTTCGGGGAGGTACTGGAGCCTCCCACTGCACAGCTTCTAACCTGGAAGATCTGCTGTGGATACCACTTCTCTTGCTCTCCCTCAGACACCTCCCTGCGAGGGGCAGCCCCTGGGACACTCAGGCAGGAAGGCTCAAGTGTCTTGGGAAGACTGAGCTCCCTCATTCCTTCCTGCCCCTTTGTCCTGCCCCACAGCACTGGAAGCCATCAGCCTCCAGTCCCCAACTCAGTACAGTTGAACTTCGGGCAACTTCAAAATTGACAGCAATTCTGGGGTCTCCCACCAGGAATGTGGTAAAGGACAGGAAAGGCCTCACTACCCAAAGGGTAGGGCTTCTCCAATATCCAAAGTCTGGCAGTGGCAGAGGTGGGACATAAGGGTAAACTCTGTAAACCAGCAGCTGGTCCTAGTACTAACACCTTCCTGAATTTAGAATATAACTAACTAAAAGCATCTGTACTCAGTTCAGGGCTTTGCCACACTTCTAGGAAAACATGAAAAACACCACTAGACTTTCTATTACACAAACATTATTCCATGTAATACTCAAATCATTCCTATTAGGAAAGTATTAGCCTCATTTTACAGATGAGATTTATGTTTTTAAATAAAGTAGAAGCACTCTTGAGTGACATGGTTACAATCAGTAGTTAATAATATATCTGGTCACACAATGAAACGGCCTCAAAGCAGTGCCACCCGGTAGCAGTGACTATACCCAGATCTGAATTTTTAAACATGAAATGGAGAATTTCTATTTTCCAGTAAAAGGAAACAGCTTCTTGGACAAATGGCTACCTCTAGGGCTGAGGCAGGGAAATACAACATGAGTCCAGAGGATTTACTGTAAGAGAAAGCAAAGCAGTAGTCAAAAAAGTGTCAAAAAATCAGGTCATGTTAAAGGGACACAGCTAATTTGAAAGATCTCTCAATGCCCAAAACTAGAATAATTTGAACAATCACAACAACAAAAAATTAGTAACATAGTATTGGATCACAACCCAAAGTATGGGATAAATATGAGTTTATATTGATATAAATGATTGAATAAATTGTGGGGCAAGTGGAGGAGGAACAAGTCTTCCTTTTATGTAAAGAATAAAACAACATGAGTAGATACTCTCCCTTCCTCTCCCAGGCTTGAGTACCAGCTGGACTTAGTGACTCACTTTCAGAGAATAGAGTATGGAACAGGATTGTAACCTTACAGTGGAGAAACTTGACAGACACCACCTTAAGCAACTAGTGGAGTCCACCATTCCCAGTGAGACCATGTGGATAGCAAGTACCTGATATTATGAGAAGGGACTTCACCTCTGTGGTATTTTTTCCAAAAAAACAAAACAAAACAAAACAAAACAAAACTTGTGTCAGCCTAAACATGGGGAGTGGTGGCGGAAAATCAGATAAACACAAATTGGGCAACATTCTACAAAGCACATGACTAATACTCCAACTTATTAAAGTTATGAAAATTAAGACTGAGAAACTGCTAGACTAAATGTAACATGGTAACCTGGATTGGATACTGGAACAGAAAAGGAACATTAATGGAAAAACTGAAATATGAAAAAAGTCTAGAATTTAATAATAACATAACAATGTTGGTTTCTTCGATTTGGCAAATATACCATGGTAACATAAGTTGGTAACTGTGGGGGAAACTGAGAAGTATACTGGAATGTTTTATCTTGGCAACTTTGCTATATATCTAAAATTTTTCTAAAATATAGTTTTTTTTAAAGTTGAGGTGAAAAGTCTTCAAAAATACATTCTTAAATGTATTTCCTCTTAAGTATGTAAATGTACATTCATTATCTATTGTTAGAAATGACACTAAGGTGATTTCTTCAAATATGGATCCGCTGACTGAACTTCATTTTTCCTAAAAAATTGTAACCACAGAATTAGGCATCTATAATTTTCAATTTTAGTTTAAGTAGTGATTTGAAGGAATTGAAAAGCCTTCTGATGCCACTGTCATTTTAGAGTTAATATTTTTCCAATCCTTTACAGCTAATGTTATATTCAATGAGTTTACTTTAATTAAAATTTGTAATAAATTTTATGTAATGAATACACAAAAAAGGGAGTCCAGCAAAATAAATGTTCACGTACCCATTACTTGGCTTCCACTTTTAAACAATATTTTTCTGATTTCGATATATACTTTCTTAAATATTTTAAAGCAAATCCCTATCACATTTTGCCACCCATACTTGTGGAACATCCCCAGAATCATAAGACCTTCCCTCTAAATAACCACCATGCCTTTATCACAACCAACAAGATTAACTCTAATGCCACAGTATCATCTAATTCTCAATCCACATTCAAAGTTAATTAGAAAGCTCCTTTTTCTAGCAAATCACTTTAAGAAGGATTAAATTTGGTTTTATAAAAACTATAGCTTTCTTTTCATACTCACTTTGATGCACAATTATCCCAATCTGGTGATATGATTGAGACAGACATAGTTAAAAGATGTAAACAGTCTTTATTGGTAAAGAATGTGGAAGTTTAGCTGTTTTGGAAACCATTATTGAAATGAGTAACGTAACAGGAAAAAAAAAAAAAAAGACCAACCAAATGCCCAACAAAAAAAGTAACAGATTAAACAAACAGAGAACTGTACAAAGAAAACTATGCCCCAAGGGCATAGACATTATCCTGTAGGCAATGGGGTGCCACTGAATGATTTTGGACCAGGCAGTGTTAATAATGAGTTTATTTTTCCACTTTCACTGAAAGATTAACTAGGAGAAACAGGGAATCTGAGAATGGAAGCAGAGAGGCAAATTTGCAAAAGGAGGTATTATAATATCTTAAGAGGGAAAATTTTTTCCTATTCCCATTATTTCTCTTGAAGTGAAGGAAGTTCCACAAACTGAAGCCAGCCCTGGCTTCTCTCTATCCCCTAACTCATTCCCCTACCCCAAGAGGAGGAATTTAAAAATCAGAAAATGGGCATGCATATCCACTCATTATGCTGCTGTGAACATTTGGGAGTAAAAGAATAAAACATGCCCATATGAAAACATGTTTCCAGTTGTTCATAGCAGCATTATTCACAATACCCAAAGGTATATCAACACATAACTAAAACGTAGTATATCCACACAACTGAATGGCAGTCAACCACAAAAAATGAAGGGCTACATTCATATGCTACAAATAGACAAACCTTGAAAACTCTATGCTAAGTGAAAGAAGCCAATCACAAGATCCCCCATACTGTATGTGTCCCATACTATATGCGAACATATTAAACCTTATGTGCCCCATTATTATGTTGTGTGCTTTAAAAGAGCCTTGTTTTAAAAACTTTAACACTGAACTAATACATATGCTGATGTCCTGAAGAAATTTCACCCATTCTTTTATTTAATGTCCATGCTATGAACAGAATGGTTGTATCATGCCCCAAAATTCACGTTTTAATACTAACCCCTAATGTGATCCCCAAAATTCACATGTTTTAATACTAACCCTAATGTGATATTAAGAGATGGGGCCTGTAGGAGGTGATTAGGTCATAAGGGTATCGTCCTCACGAGTAGTATTAGTGCCCATTAGAAAAAGACATGCGATTGAGCAGGACAGACTGGAGAGAAAAAAAAAAAAAAAGAAAAAAAAAAAAAACATGGGAGAGCTTGCTTTCTCACTCCCTGCTCTCTACATTTGAGTATACAAGGAGAAGGCAGCTATCTGCAAACAAGAAGAAAGCCCTCAGATACCACATCTGCCAGCACCTTGATCTTGGACCTTCTAGCCTCCAAAACTGAGAAATTTCTGTTAAGTTACCCAGTCTACGGTATTTTTGTTATAGTAATCTAAGCAGACTACGACAGTTTAGAATAGACATAGCCATAGAGACAAAGTTGTTGCCAGAGGTAGGGAAGAGGGAATGGGACATAATTGCTAATGAGTTCAGGGTTTTTTAGGGGATGACGAAAATATTGTGAAATTAGGTCAAGGCAATTGTACAACCTTATGAATATAGTAAAAACCACTGAACTGTATACATTCACAAAGTAAATTTATGGCATGTGAATTATATGCCAATAAGCTGTTTTTTTAAAAAAAAAGGACATATTTGAAGAATTGAAGGGAACAAAATGAAATTTAAAGTGGTTTCTCATGGCCCATAGACTTCAGTGAGAGGCAGGGAGAGTCCACCCTGATGGTTTTAGTACCCCTACACTAGGTCACGTGGGTATGAACAGCTGTGCAGATGATCTTTGCAAAGATTACACAACTTGGAGAATTGAAGGGACTAAGACTCTGCGAGCTTACTGTCATAAGGCTTGATGGAGTCAAAGCACATGGAGAAAATAAGCACTAGCAAGCCTCAGGGTCTGAGAGAGCTCCAGGTGCAACTCCCAAGGGTCCTTTCTTAGTCACAGAATCTACTTTATCTCCGGATTATGAATCGCCAGGATATTGGTGAGGAGCCTTGGTTTTGTTAGAGCTCAGGCAGAAGTTTCCAGTGGTTGTTTTATGTCCCACTAGTCATATAGCCCAAGCTGGTTATCCAGTTAAGTCAGGTGTAAGCCATCAACCTAAATCTCTAGACAATGCAAACAACTTAGCAGTGGTATATTTTAAATTACTAACTTGCCCACTAATCCTTATCTTGGCCAAGAAGTCAGTTCCAGGCTTACTTGGTCAGTTCCAGACTTCCAGACATCCTCAGAAATAAATAGAGCTGTATAAACCCAGCTGTAAAATAACTCAATCATAAACAGCCTTTAACTGCTGTGGCCTGGGAAATAAGTTCCAAGTTTTAAGCCTCAAGATATTTTTATTCTTGCAGGCGACCATTCAAAGAATGACTGCTACTTGGAAAGCATGGCATCAAGGAGAGCTGGAGGTCACAGTGGTTTAACGTAGAATGATGTGGCCACAGGCTGGCCTGGCATTCCAGATTAGCTAAACAGGGATTAGACATTTTAGGGCCTAGATGGGCAGAACAACTTTTGTGCTTTTAAAACTGAAAGAAATCAGTTCTGCATGTCCTGCAACAGTAGATCTCAGCCAAGATGATTTTGCCTCCCTAGGGATATTTGGGGATGTCTTTAGACATTTTTGTTGTCACACTTGGGGTGGGTGGGTGCCGTGGGCATCTAGAGGATGGAGGTCAGCAGTGCAACTAAATATCCCTCAGTACACAGGGCAGCTTCCAACCAAAAACAAACAAACATAAAAAGAACTATCCAGCCCAAGTTACAAGGGTAACCTATAACTCACAAGGTGAATTTACAAGGCCAAGTCATTTCTCCACCACGTAGTCTAGTTCAGTCTGATTGGCTTAATCACATATGAGAAGAAACCTTCCTTAGGAGACAGGTTATTTAGGCCTAAGAAATTCCATAATACAAAGCTAAAGATGCCTGCCCAGCAGAGAAGATGGAAGCCTCATCACTAATCAGAACCTACACATGATTTAGTACTGTAGCAAGCAAAACAAAAAAGGAAGGGGAAAATAAAGTTTTTTTATTTGAAGTTTTTTTTTTTTTTGAATTTGCTGAAGCAGAAGGAAAGGGCTCTCAAATACTATCAGGGAATTGTGACAACCACCACCGAAAATTTAATTTACTCAAACACCATGTCTGTGATACAAGGCCATATGCCTAAGTGGGCTTTTCCCATAACATGGTAGAGCCAGAATTACTGGACAATTATTCCCAATAGAACTTAAACGGGCATCCATTGGTCAGCATCCCAATGAAGCTAAAAGTAAAATTTGCCCTCTCACTGGCATAATTTTTGACAGCAATGCAACCTGGATTCTAAGAATAATTTCATCAGAGAAAACTGGTCTACAGGCTTAGAAATGACTTATTTTCTAAATTATGGGCCTAGTGATGTAAAAGCCTTATGTGCCCCATTACTACTTTGTGTGCTTTAAAAGAGAGCCTGGTTTTAAAAACTTAACACTGAACTAATACATATGCTGAAGTCCTGAAGAAGTTTCACTCATTCTAGGCTGCAACTGTGAGAAGAATGCCAATTCCACCCAGCTGTCTCCAACCAGCTTCATGAGACAATCGGTGAGAAACAAGGGAAAACTCCAAAACCTTTGATATTTAACTCACAAGGGCAAAAGAGTGCAACTTTGAACAGATTTAAACTTTCATCTTACAAAGGGGGTTAATATCTGAACTTTAAATTCTGGGCTAAAATGAAAGATTAAACACGTGCATCTTTATTACCTTCCTGGAACCCAGCCAACACTACACCCAAAAAAAAAAAATTTTTTTTTTTTTTGAGACAGAGTTTCACACTTGTTACCTAGGCTGGAGTTGGAGTGCAGTGGTGCGATCTCGGCTCACTGCAACCTGCGCCTCTTGGGTTCAAGCAATTCTCCTGCCTCAGCCGCCTGAGTAGCTGGGATTACAGGCAACACCACCACGCCCGGCTAATTTTTTTGTATTTTTAGTAGAGACGGAGTTTGCCATCTTGGCCAGACTGGTCTCAAACTCCTGACCTCAGGTGATCCACCCACCTCGGCCTCCCAAAGTGCTGGGATTACAGGTGTGAGCCACCACGCCCGGCCATGATTTTTTAAACAAACTTATTTTGAAATAATTTTAGATTTGCAGAAAATTTGCAAAGATGGTACAGAGTTCCTGTATACCCTTCACTCAGCTTCCTCTAATGATAATATCTTACATATCACACATTTGTCAAACCTAAGAAATTAACATTGGTACAATATGGCCAAAAAAACTATACATGTTGTTTGGATTTCACCAGTTATTCTGCTAGTGCACTTTTTCTGTCCCAGGATCCAATCCTGTACACTATATTGCATTTAGTTGCCATGTCTTATTAGTATCTTAGTTTGTTCTGCTATAACAAAATACCTGAGATTAATTTATTTTAAAAAACAAAATGTCTTACAGTTCTGGAGGCTGGGGAGTCCCAGGTGCCAGCAGGTTCAGTTGTCTGGAGAGAGCTGATTGCTCTGCTTTCAAGATGGCACCTTATTGCTACATGCTCCAAAATATAGAAACGCCAAGTCCTCACAGGCCAGGACAAGCAAGCTGAAAGCTGGATGAAGGCTCTTTTTTTTTTTTTTTTTTTTTTTTTTTTTTGAGACGGAGTCTCGCTCTGTCGCCCAGGCTGGAGTGCAGTGGCGGGATCTCGGCTCACTGCAAGCTCCGCCTCCCGGGTTCACGCTATTCTCCTGCCTCAGCCTCCCAAGTAGCTGGGGCTACAGGCGCCCGCCACTACGCCCGGCTAATTTTTTGTATTTTTAGTAGAGACGGGGTTTCACCGTTTTTAGCCGGGATGGTCTCGATCTCCTGACCTCGTGATCCGCCCGCCTCGGCCTCCCAAAGTGCTGGGATTACAGGCGTGAGCCACCGCGCCCGGCCCTGAAGGCTCTTTTATAAGGGCCTTAATTCCATTCACTAGGGAGGAGCCCCCATGGCCCAATCACCTCTTAAGGGCCCCACCTCTTAATCCTATCACATTGGCAACACCTGAATTTTGGAGGCAACACTTTCAAACCACAGCAGTGTCCTCAACTCTGAGACACTCTCTCCACAGCAAAAGGTTTTTTAAGAGATGGAAACACAGAAGAACACAGCGAACAGGGAGGAGATAATAGTAACAAAAATGTGAAATCTGAATCATAAACCAGTAAAGGGAAAGATAAACAAACTGACATATGCTACAGATTTTTCAAACAGCTCTGTTCCTGGAAGTGATAAGAGGAAGAGAGTGGGAAGAAGAACTATTGGGAAAAACACTATTTGAGAAATTATTTGAGAACCCTCGATCCTTCCATGCTTCACAGTGCTAGGAAACTGGCCCTCACCTATCCTAGAGGAGATCCAGAGATGTAAACTCTAAATTGTGGTCTGCAATCTTGAGAATGCCAGGTGCAGGTACTTTGGACCATTAAAGAAGAAATTCTGTTTAATGTTTTAGCTGCAAGGAAGAGCAAGTTAATAACTCTAATCTGGTTAATCTTCACTTGAAACAATCTATGAATTTTTGCTGTGACAATGTGACTCAAACCACAAATACTATTGTGATTACTTATCTATTTGGCTCCTTGCTAAAATACTTATGAAGTTTAATTTATCTCTTAACTTCAAGTGAGAAATACCTTTAATGTAAGTGTAAACTTTGACTTGTATCAGTTAATATGCAATCTTTGAAGAAACAGATTTAGGTTTCTTATCGGGTCATACAAATTCCTTCGCCTGAACCATTCCACCGTTGTCTTTATACTTAGCAATATTCTATACTTCTCTGCAACAAGACCCACCCCTCCATGGCATTTATTATTTTTCAAACATATTTATGTGATTGTCTGACTTCTAGCACCCATCTATCTGTATATTTTGTTATGTATATATGTATCCCTTCTGTCTAGGTTTACTCCCTAATTATCCCATATGTACTATTCTTCGTTCCTCTGTCAAAGAGTAAACTGCAGGAACCCAGGAATCATGTTTCACATATCTTGCTTTTCATATCATGCTGAGCAAAACTCTAAACTCACAATATATCAATGTTTCACAAAATATGTTTATAATTCCCTGCCTCAAATTAACCAAGGGTTTTTAAAAAGCATATTATTAAGTTCTGGTGAGGGATAGTGGTGATGGTTGCATAATAATGCAAATGTGCTTTATTCAACTGGTTAAAATGGTAACCTTTGGGTTAAGCATATTTTACCACAATAAAAAATGAATTTTAAAGCACATTATTAAGCCCAGTGAATTGATGAATAAGGACCTGCAGGAATGGTGCCTGGGAACCTACATTTCCACAGTTCTCCAAGTATTTCTTATGCAACCTGGTCTGAAAAACCATCACATTAGATAGCCAGTAAATACCTGTGGTTTGCATGAATGACTGATTGATTGATTGTTGATTGACTGATTGATTGATTGATTGGAGACAGGGTCTCTCTCTGACACCCAGGCTGGATTGCAGTGGTGCAATTATGACTCATTTCACCCTCAACTTCCCAGGTTCAGGCAATTCTTCTACCTCAGCCTCCTGAGTATCTTGGGCTACAGGTGTGCACTATCATGCCAGGCTACCGTTTTGTTTTTGTTTTTGTTTTTTGTTTTGTTTTGTTTCATTTTGTTTTTGTAGATACAGGGTCTGTCTATGTTGCCCAGGCTTTTCTCTAACTCCTGGTCTCAAGCGATCCTCCTGCTTTGGCCTTCCAAAGTGCTGGGATTACAGGTGTGAGCCACCATGCCTGGCCTTATGTGATTAATTATTGAGAACTTTGATCTACATTTTGATTATACACAATGCTCAGGAAGCCAAGTAAGGCCCCCCTCAAAAAACGACTTACCTCTAATGCCTAGAAATATTAATTCTCTACAAGCCCCTATTTTAAAAGCCTTTCATGAAAAGAGCTTCCTATACATATTTTCTATTTCATGAAGAGTTTATGAGGAATCATGAAAAGTATAAAAGCCTGTAAAATAAAAGTGCAACATAAATCATCAGCAACATGACCACAGACACCCAATATGCCCCTGCATGATTTTGGTCAAGTTCATCATCCTCCAAACATTCAAGGGAAATGTTCTTGGTAGGAACAAAGACATTCTAAAGCTTTCTCATCACTCAAATTGCTATCATGAGTGCCACATGAGCAGTGATTTGTTGAATTGAATGATCATAAGCAAAGATTTGCTGAATTGAATGACTCAAGGTTTTCTGAATATGCTTGATGGAGATTGACTACTATATTAAACCTAGCATCTATTTTAAGTGATTGAAAACCCTGAAATAGTGCTGAGACCATATTATTCTCCATCAAGCATATAGACTGACAGGATTTCATATGTTTAACCTCCCACTAGGCTTAACTACCTCTAACTGCTGGGGAGATCTATTTATCTGTAGATGTGTGGCTACGAGAAATAGCCTCAGTCTATATCTGAGGGTGGCTGGTAGCCCAGGGCTCCAAATAGAAAGTTTTCAAGGGTAACCTGGGAAAATATTTGGAAACTCTGGGGCAGGGTGCCACTGAAGGCAGAGCTGTAGGCAAAGTGGAAAATATTGCTCTGGAAAGCACAATGATGAGGCTATTCAAAGCATGTAACTGGACAGAGTTACTTGACATGCACGATAAAGTCAATGTAGGAGCCAAAGCTAAACCTCAGAGATGTGAGTTGAAGAACTGAGTGAATAGAGGCATCATCTATAAACACAAGGAAGTAAGCAGAGGATGAAGGCTTGGGTTAGAAAAGTAATAAGCTTGTTCAGAAACAGAAAATACAATGGTGTTTGCCAGAGGCTGAGGGGAGGAAGATGGGAGGAAAAGGGAAGTTTTTATTCAATGGGTGTAGAGTTTCAGTTGTGCAAGATGCAAAAGTTCTAGAGATCTGTTGCACAACAATGTAACTATCATTAACACTGCTATACTGTATATTTAAAAATGGTTACCATGGTCAATTTTGTGTTTTTACCACAATAATAAATACAACAATAAAAATAATGGGCTTGTGTAGATTGACTTAGGCACAGTGGCCTATGGTGGGCAACATCTTATAGCTCTTCTTCATACTGATATTCAACAGATTGATCTTAAATTCATATTATAGCTTGAACAAATAGGTAATTTTATATCACTGTTACCTGGCAGGGGTAAACACTCAGAAAAATACATTTATTCTCATCATCCACAATTACACTGAGCTTCCGCAGAGGTGTGACCACACATTGAGGGCTGTCAATTGTATAATATTTTGATAGATAATCGTCCGTCCTGGAAAACACTTAAAAGATCATAATTTTTAAAATCATTTTTTGCCATTTGTCTGGCTAAAATGATAACTCATCCTGAGCAAGTGGTTTTAAGTTAGCCTGAAATAAGAAGCCACTCTAATAAACTCTCTCAACCACGTTATTCCCACTTGAAACAGATGTCTGGGTTGAAAAATATTCATGGCTATGTTTCAAATATGTTTAAGCACTAAACCAAAAATACTAATATTTGAAATAAGAATATAGTAATAACCCATGCTTCTATGCTAGTTATATTCTACCATTTGCTAAATTTAAACCCTTTGCTTTAAAAACCTTAACATGTCAATGAAATATTTTAAAAATAATATTAGAAGATAAAACTTACTAGCCACTTACTAAGCCTCACAATAATCCTTCAAGTTAAGATTTATCCTATTTCACAGGAGGAAACTGAGGCTCAGAGGGATTAAGTAACTTAATCAAGTCACACAGCCTGAAGGCAATAGATCCTAACTTGAAAGCTAGATCTGCCCAACTTCAAAGCCTGTCCCCTTTCCATTTCTCAGCCCTGCTTATAAGGAAGTCAAAACCCTTGGAATCATGCATAATGGATTAGAACCAGTAAACTTGAAATAATTTCTAACATTCTTTGGTTACATCTATAAAACATCTAGGCACTTAGATGTTGAAAACGGAAAAGTTTTAAACAATTAACAGTGCCAGAAGTAGCAGCCAGAACAGTTCTACAATTGATTAGTTTACTATCTATCTAGGTCTATCCTTACTAAACCTAGCAGTAAATAGAAAATTGAGAACCACTAAGTCATTCTCAAATGTGTTGACCACACTCATCTTCTGTTTCATTAAACAGTATTCACGAAACACTTTTGATCATACACCACTTTTGGTCAAAGAAAAAAAAAACAGCCTCTATTTGCTGGTTATCTATTGTTACATAGCAAACTACTGCAAAATTTAGTGCTTTCAAACAACCACTGTATTATCATAGCTCACAATTTTGTTGGCCCTGCTTGAATTAGGAAATGGCTCAGCTGGGTGACTCTTCTACTCCTTAGATAGGGTCTCTCAGTGGCATTCACCTAATGACTCAGCCAGACTGCTGAGGGGGTTCAAGACCACTTCAGTCACATGCCTGGTGCCTTATAGGGGACAGCTGGAATGTGGGGTTCATCTGGGCCCTTCTGTCCATCCATGAGATCTGAGGCCCTTTCCACATGGTCTCCCCAGCAGAGTCATCACACTCCATCATGTGACTCAAGACTTCATGAATGAGTGTTCTCTAAAAGCTGAAGTGGAAGCTGCCAGTCTTATAAGGACTGGCCACAGACACTGACATACCATCACTTCCACTATATTCTGTTGGCCAAAGTAGTCACAGAGCTGGCAGAGATTCAAGGGGAGGCAATACAGATTCCCCACCTCTCAGTGAGAGGAGTTTCAAAAACTTTGAAACCAACTTTAATCTGCCATACCACATTATAAATATATGCTTATACTACAGAACATTGCATGAACAATTGCAAACACACACAAAATAGAAAATGATTAGGGAAGAAACAAACACATAAATAAATATGCTAACATTTTCTTCCCATGGCCTTTGAATCATTTTGTACATCGCCTAAGGTGAACACACTTCCACTATGGAGTCTACTGCTCTACCTTCCTGCATCTCTAGTCCTTAATTCAGCAAATATATAAAGAGAGCACCTTACATGCAAAAGACATATTACACACTGCTGAACAAATGAATAAACATGAACGTTCCTCTTCAGGAATTTACAACCCAGTGGAAGAAAATGAGAGTAAATAATTACAACTTGCATGAAAATATTGCTAACTAGACCTGGAGGAGTCAAGGAAGCAGACACAGACCAATCTTTCTGGACACTACCTCGTATGTCATTGTTTTCATGAGTGGGCCATAGTTCTGCTGACCCCAAAAGACTACAAACTCCCTGAAGACAGGACAATATGTACATTCCTTTTGCTGTCCTATGCTAAATGCTCAGCTAATATTAGAATTGATGGAAGTAATTGATTAGATCTTTTTGCACCTAGGGTGAAAAACGGTCCCCCTAACCACAACCAAATTGTTGGTTAAAGGGTGGGGAGATGGATAAGAGTACAGACGTAATCAGCCTAAATTTATTAACACTCATAGAAATATAATAATGATTTATATTTGACAGCACTTAAGAAATTACAATAAGATTTTACATGCATTCATTCATTAAGTAACCAAGATATTAAGAACAAATTTTTGGCCAGGCATGGTGGTTCATCCCTGTAATCCCAGCACCTTGGGAGGCTGATGTGGGTGGATCGCTTGGGGCCAGGATCTGTTGTTGGCCAGACCAGCCTGGCCAACATGGCGAAACCACCTCTCTACAAAGAATACAAAAATTATCTGGGCATGGTGATGGGTGCCTGTACTCCCAGCTACTCAGGAGGCTGAGACAGGAAAATTGCTTGAACCCAGAAGGTGGTTTCAGTGAGCCAAGATCGCACCACTGCACTCCAGCCTGGTTGACAGAGCCAAAAAAAGAAAAAAAAAATTCTAAATGAGTAAAACAGAATTTTTTTTTCTTTTCTTTTTTTTGAGATAGAGTCTTACTTTGTCACCAGGCTAGAGTGCAGTGGCATGATCTCGGCTCACTGCAACCTCCAACTCCCTGGTTCAAGCAATTCTCCTGCCTCAGTCTCTTGAATAGCTGGAACTACAGGCAGCCACCACCAAACCTAGCTAACTTTTGTATTTTTAGTAAACACGGGGTTTCATCATATTGGCCAGGAACAGTCTCGATCTCCTGACCTCGTGATCCTCCCGCCTCGGCCTCCCAAAGTGCTGGGATTACAGGCGTGAGCCACTGCGCCCGGCAGAAAACAGGATTTTTTATATTCTTCTTAATAGTACATCACAGAACATTCATCATCATATTACTTGATTACCTTCTTCACCTGTATGTTTCTGAGATGTACATATACAACCAAAACCTCTTAGAGGACCACGGAAAGAGGCGGGAGGAAAGTAAACCATTTCCTTCCTGTTTGTGAAACAGGCCCACCTGTGATAAGTAACCACCTTTACTTTCTGAATCTGCTGAGAACTAAACCTGACAACATAGAGTCTGACTGCAGCATGAGGGCCGACAGGTAAAATATTATCACCATCATCAGCCAATGGTTACTGAGCACTTAAAGCATTCAAGATACAGTGTAGTGATAGACACTGTGAGACTCTTGATAGAGTTAGGTGGCAGAAAGGATGATTGAGGATGGTCCCAGAGACCTTTTAGAACAAGTTAGATAAAGCATCTGTCTAAAGTGATTTAGGTGGAGCTGGGACTGGAAGCACAAGTGAAATGCATGATGTTTCAGGTCACCATCCTTCTGTCTTTCTATGACATTTATAAAAAATGAGAGAATTGTTCACTTTTAGAGCTGGAGAGGTTTGATCTATTCCAACCCCCTCATTTTATGCTAAGGAGACTGAGGCCCAAACAAGTGAATTGGCTTGCCCTAAGATACCTGGCTAAAAGTTACCAAGTCTCCTGGTTCTTGTTAGTTCCACATTCTTGGCATCAACTTCCCCAAGCCAACTTGAGTAGGTCACTTTGAAGTCATGCTAAGAGACTCAGATGTAACGATTCTATGAAGCAGTCTCATAACACTTTACCTTTGCAAAGTAAAATGTTTATGAGAGAAAGCTTTAACTCTGTTTTCAAATGAAGAAACTGAAGCTTAATTAATGAGCTTAATTGATGTCAGTCAATGACAATAAGACTTGAAATACATGAGTCCTGATTCTGGGACCTGTGGTTAGTATCATAGTCATAGCTACAACATGAAGTGCCCACATTTAAGGAACAGTAGCAGGGGCGAGGCTGAGTGTTCCAACACTGCGGACAGACCAGGCTATTAGCAGTAGAGGAGCTCAGAATGAAAAGCACGATGTGTAAGGAATGCTCTGATTTCAAGATTTCATTCCATGCATTTTCTCCTCCTTCTATTCCTTGTTCCCTCTTTCATGACACCTAGATCTCCTTTGGTATTTAAAACAATAAATTTAGTATCACTTCCCTTCTTTTTAAAAATCCTATCCTCAAGCAAAATCTGTCAGATAAAAATATTCTTTATTTACAAGGATCCAAATTCTTACTTGTGCTAAGTTCTCCCACTATCACTGGGAATGAGTCATGAGGTCCTGTTTCATCTTCTCTTCTCTCGGCAACACCTGGCATCAACTGTAGGTCATTTTCAGAGCCTCCTCAGCCCTGGACTGCTAACATCATTTTGGCAATCAAACAACTTTTATTATGTTGTAGCTCTATTTAGATATCATAGGCCTTTAATTTTTCTTCCTTGGCATTGGCCATTGCTCCAGTAAAATTCCAACTATTGATTCATCCTTCATAGGCTCATCCTAATACTGACCTGTGGTTCAAGCCTCCAATTGCCATCTTCCCTTCCTACACTTTCACCGTATCCTTTAGAAGCTCTATTCCATTATCAATAATTTTGTATGCCCTCAATCTCTGTGAAAGGCATTCACTCCACTTTTTGGCACAATTGAATTCTGACATTTTCTCCAGGATCTCCACCTTTTCCCTGTTTTCAAGTAACTTGGAACTTCTATGCATCATTTTGAAGACTTCTGAAGTGGAGTCAGTTCTCTCTTCTATGCCCACATGGCAGAGCCAGCATTCTCCTAGTTGCTTATCCCCAGTTTAAAGCCATTACCCACCCACTTTCTGAAAAACCCTCTCATCATTTGATATACCTGTCACTACAGATTTGTCTCATCTCCAATATCTTCTATCATCACCAGCACCCTCTCAGATTGATTGGTTAGTTCCTGGACCTTTCATCATCCATCTGTTTTTCCACTCTAACCCCAACACCAACATGAGGGACATAAGATATGTATATAGGTGAGTTTCTGAGACCTCACACTTCCTGGAACTTTTCTACTCCAATGAGTTTATCGTCACTCTTCCTCAGCACCAGGATGAGCAATCCATCAGCACCAGGATTGCTCTATTGCATTAACCTTAAACTCTAGCTATTCAGTATGACACTTACCTCTAATCAAGTCAATTTTCTCACTTGCCTTCTCCTACTGCATTTACTCTCTGAACTTATCATAAGCTGCAGTCTCTTAACTCTTCCCTGTTTTCAAGTAACTTGGAACTTCCATGCATCATTTTCCTCCTTACAAGGCAGGACCTTGTACAATTCACGTATCCACTCTGAACAACATGCTCACTTGCTCTCTTGTCTTATTGTCTTTCCACTATACTCTTCTAACAGAATATGGGCATGGATTAATCCAGTTATCAATCTCTTTGGCTCCCTCAGGAGAGTTGGAGGCAATGTTGGGTTGATTTCAGGCTGGGACTCAAGTATGTCTGAATCTTCCTTTACTGTTGATCCCTTCCCCAACCCCTGCACAGAAACAGCCACAGCAGAATGGGAGTCAAAAATATCTTTTGTTAGTAAGCAAATACTTGGTGACTTCCACTAAAGGGCTCCTTGTTAAAAGCTTAAAGAAGAAGATTTGAACATGGAAGCTAAGAGGGGAAGTTAATGTTGGGGTTACCGTCTCCTCAGGGATGCCGAAGCAGTGGCCTCCACCAGGCTTCTTGGTCAACACTCTAACTTACTAAAAGAAAACAAAGAGAGTTACTATTGCAGGATGCTTCTGCAGGATATACCTAGTCTACATGGATTGCTTGTTGCAAATAAAAGTGGAATATATAGATTTACAGGATGCTCCTGGCTGTAGAACAGAAGTTAGTCAAGGAATCTTTCTACACGAGTGACAAACCAAGCATAAAAACTAAGGAGCTATAAATAAAAGTGGCTTCATCTGAGCTGACATATACTGCTAAAATTGTTAGTCCTCACCTTTTCTTTCAACACTAAAAATGTCCCTGTACAGGGAAAGTAGCTTTAGGAAGCTGCGTATGTTGGGTTCAGGGTCCCTCTGAGAGAAAATAGCTTTAAATTTTAACTAGCAAAGCTTGTTTTTGGATAAGACATATAATTAGCAGGACTTTGCTTTGATAATCCATCCTTTTGTAGTACTGCAAAAGTCTTAGTGATGCCTTCTTCTTTCTCCTCCCTGAATCTGAGATGACAAAATCTATAGTTTCAAGGGCAGAGTAAATGAATAGATGAAAAGACCTAGAGATTTGGCCAGTACTGACCAAGCAGGTGAGATCTGTCTAGGTCAGAGGTATCAGGTAGAAAAGGTAATATCCAGCCTGATCAGGTGGATTTGGTAATGACCACTTATACTTATCCCTGCCTGCATGTGCTTTCTTGATGGACAAAGTATAGAAATCAAGAAGAGGAGTGAATAGGTAAACTCCTCCTCTAAGGCACAGTAACTCTACCCGTTGAAGAATAGGGCCCTGACAATGCCACACTGGGATCTGGCCAACCACATGGGGTGCTCCTCCTCTCTTAGAGAGGGGTGGGTACTTGCAAAGCAGTGGGTAGAAAAAAAATGTTAAGTAGAAAAATTGAATGCTCTGTTTCCTATATCAATCAGGGTTCTCCAGAGAAACATAAATAATGGAAGATGATAAATAGATGATAGCTACATAGATAGGGTTTTTTTTTAATTTGCTCATGAGATTGTGGAGCCTGGCAAATCTGAAATTTATAGGGAGCCAGCAAGCTGGAACCTGAGACAAGCTTTGATGTTGCAATCTTCTGTCCGAAATCCATAGTTCAGGTAAGCAGTTGGAAACTCAAGCAACAGCTGATGTTGCACTAGTGTTGAGTTTCAAATTTGTGGCTTAGGACAGAAGGTTGAAAACTCAGGTAAGATTTGTATGTTACAGTCTTGAGGCAACATTCCATCTCTGGGAAACAGTGTTTGTTTTTAATGTCTTCCACTGATTGGGTAAGACCCACCCACATTGATGAAGGTAATCTCCTTTACTTAAAAATCAACTGATTGTAGATGTTAAACACATTTACACAATACCCTCACAGCAACATCTAGTCTAGTATTTGACTAAATAACTGGACCCCATTGCCTCACCAGGTTGTCACATAAAATTTAACCACCACACTCCCCAATGATAAAGTGAGCCTAAGAAATAACGCAACTATTGGCCTTGCTACTCTCTATGTGTGTGAGTTTCAATCCCAGATGCATGCTCAGCACTTCTCAGAAGCACTATTACAGCTTTCTACCGACACTCCTCCCACTCATCTAGTAGCTACTTCAAATCATCACTACCTTAAATTCTAATCCCACAAGTGCCATTTCTCCCTCTCTCAATTGATCACCCTGATTCCTATAAAATTCCTCCAGTTTCCCTTCTCACCTTCCACCCATCAACTTTCATACCTCTATCCATAATAAAACAAATCCCTCCCTCTATCCAAGGTTAGTTTACCCAAAGCCAATGCTGCAATCTCACACATCCTCAGGCAATTTTTTTTCACTTGTTATTCTCCCTATTGTGTGTTCAACCACTTGGAACCTATTAATTAACCCTTGTCCACATGTATATATGATTAAAGATCATGAAAAGAAAACTATTCCTCTTTTAACTCTATGAAACCCACCGCTGGAACTATCTACAACTCTACCTTTTTAGAGTCACTCCACTCACTCCCATTCACTTACATGAGAAGCAACAGTTCACCTTAAGCGTGTGGACTCTGGAACTAGATGCCTGGATTTAAAAGTCTAAGCCTGGCTGGGCAGAGTGGCTCACACCTGTAATCCCAGCACTTTGGGAGGCCAAGGCAGGTGGATCTCTTGAGCCAAGGAGTTCAAGACCAGCCTGCGCAACATGGTGAAACCCCACCTCTACAAAAAATTCAAAACTTAGGCAGGTGTGGTGATGCGTGCCTGTAGTCCCAGCCACTCAAGAGACTGAGATGGAAAGATCACTTGAGCCCAGAAGGCGGAGGTTGCAGTGAGCCAAGATCGCGCCATTGCACTCCTACCTGGGCAACAAAGACTCTGTCTCTAAAATAAGATATAAAAAAAATAAATAAAAGCCTAGGACTGGAGGAGAGAAAGTTTCTAAATCTCTCTAAGTTTCAATTTCTTCATGTGTAGAATGGGGGTAATAATAGTGACTTCATACAGTTGTGAGGATTTAAAAAGTTAACCCATGTCAACTACTTAGAACAGTACCTGAATCTCAGCAACTATGTAGTAAATATTAGTTACTATTTGTTGCTAAACCCTTTATTATTTGGATTCTGACATTCATACTCCACTGAAACTCTTTTTAGGGAATAAAATTATTTTAAGTCCCCAAATACATCAACTCAACTTTAGTTAAAATTGGACAGAGGGAGACCCCAAGTCCCTAGACACAATAGTATATAAACAACTTCCAGATAATTACCCTTTGTTTAATGTGATATGGAAACATTATTTACACATTATTTTATGTTCTAACCACTTCATAGTATTTTTTAAATAAGGGAGAAGGTTGAAGAATAATTATAATTCAGTTACCATAAAGGCTGATATTATTGTTTAAATTAAATTTGTATTTATATTAACTGGTTTTGTTCAGAACAGCAGAGGACTATATAATCTATATCTTTAAGATTATGGAAACAGCATCTCTTAACATGCCTACATGGGGAAAGTATAAATGTGTCATGGGACAATGCATTTGCTCACCAATCTTGTAAAAATTGACCTGTTGGCTGTGATCTTACTAATCTAGTTATAGTTGACCTAACTCATATATTAACTGTAAAACATTTGGTAAGTTTAAAAGTTTCTAAACCTCCCTCTTCTAAGTTATTTTGTCCAGAAAAATAAATTAGTAGTTCTAATGGACTCACTCTTAAAATACAATGTAAAATTTCATTTTCAACTCTCTGTGGTCACCAGAATTTACAGAGTTGGATGAGCACTTCTCAGTCACCAACCTATTTGATATATTTAAGCCATTTGGTTTTCTTCAGTGTTCTGCACATTACTCTTTTCTCTTATCACTCTTTACCAAGGGATCTCAAATTTTACTGTACAAAATAATCACTTGAGGAGTTTTTAAAATGCAGTTCCCTGGCCTCATACCCCAAAATTCTAATTGCCTTGCATTGTGCTGGATCCAAGGAATCTGTTCTTAACAAGGGGGTAATTCTGTTGCTAGTGGTCTCTAGGTCACACTTTAAGAAGCTATATCCTCAATGGATGACTTTATGCATTTCTGTGCCTTTAATGATCTTTAATTTACTAATAACTTCCAAATCTATATTTTTAACTCAAACTACTCTTTTGATATGCACATTCATATATATTCTCTATTAGACATTGCCACCTAGCTTCCCATTGATCTCTCAGAATAAAACTGACCTTCTTCTCCTATTTTCCTTAAAAAACCTGCTTCCACTTTTTAATTTTCTGTCTCATATCCTTCCCTGTTTTTACCCATCACATACAGTAACCCCCAAGACCTATCAAACATTTTCCTGCTACCTTTCTCCCCACTGCCACTGCCCTTGTTGTGGACTTCATCATATTTTGTTTCATCGATTTTCACTCAGAATTTCCAATGAAACCCTAGAAAGGCCATGTATTAAAATAACCACATGCCAGGTTACTGGCTATGTCCTAAGACTAAGGGCAAAGCCAAAATAGACTCACAATAACAAAGCCTAAAACAAAGACTAGAAAGGATCAACATGATCCACCCTATAATTTAACTGCATACTAAAACAAGTCAACACTTTTCAGAGAAAAGTAATAGAATCCAGAATTTCTATATAATACCATCCACAGTGTATGGTATACAATCAAAAATTATGAGACATGTGAAGAAGCGGAAAATGGGACCTATAATCAAAAGATAAATAGTGAATAGAAGCAGACTCGCAGATGTCCCAGATGTTTGAATTAGTAGACAAAGGTTTTAAAAATCATTATTTCAAATATGTTTTAGGGCTGGGTGCAGTGGCTCATGCCCAAATCCTAGCATATGGGAGGCCGAGGTGGGTTGATCACTTGAGGTCAGGAGTTCAAGACCAGCCTGGCCAACATGGTGAAACCCCATCTCTACTAAAAATACAAAAAATTAGCCAGGTATGGTGGCGGACACCTATAATCCCAGCTACTTGGGAGGCTGAGACAGGAGAATTGCTTGAACCTGGGAGGCAGAGGTTGCAGTAAGCCGAGATCACGCCACTGCACTCCAGCCTGGGTGACAGAGACTCCTTCTCAAAAAAAAAAAAAAAAAAAAAAAAAAATATATATATATATATATATATATATATATGTTTTGAAGTTTATAGAAAAAAATAGATATACTAAGTTTAAAAATGAGAAATTTCAGGATAGACACAGAAACACTAAATGTGCATGAAATGAAATCCTAAAACTAATATATATATATATATATATATGATAGAATTAAGAGAAATTTACACACTGCAAGAGAAATGTTCAGTGAACCTGATAAGGAGACAATAGAAATTATCAAAACTAAAACATAAAGAGAAAAAGAGATTGGAGAAAATATGAACAGAGCTTCAGTGGTCTGTGGAACAAAACACACATATATATCATATATGTCATATATATATGTTATATATGTCATATATATAACATATATATAAAATATAGTCCCAGAAAGAGAGGAGAAGGAGAATGAAATAGAAAATAAAAATTTAAAGGAATGTGGATTTAACTGTTTCCAACTTTTATTAAAAATACAAACTCACATGTATAATAAACTCAGTAAAACCCAAGGAGAGTAAATACACACACGCATAAATCACACCTAGAAATAGCATAGTGAAACTGTTTGAAATAAAAATAAAGATAAAATCCTAAAAGAAGTCAGAAAGAAATCACATATATACAGAATAATAATAATATAAATCACAAACAACTTCTCACCAAAAATAATAGAAGCTAGAAGGCAATTGTACAATATTTTTAATGTGATGAAAGAAAATAAACTATCAACCTAGAACTCCATATTTAACAAAAATATCCTTCAAAACTGAAGGTGAAATAAAGGCATTTTCAGTTCAATTGAAAGCAAAGAGAATTAATTGCCAGCAAATGTGCACTATGAGAAGTGAAAAAAAAAGTTATCCAAGACAAAGTAAAATAATACCATACAGAAATTCAAATATACAGGATAGAATATTTCAAGGGGACTAAAATTATAATAACATTAGTTAAATATATTTTCTTAATTTCTTTCAGAGACAAAGAGCTTTTAAAGCAAATGAAACAGCATTGTAAGATGAGGTTTGTAATATATGAACAAATAGGATATGACAATCACAAAGTTCAAGAGAGGAGTTAATTGATTATTGTCTCATAAATTTCTTATATAATTGGTATAATATCTATTCAAGGTAAACTATAAGTTAAAGACACCTATTGTAATCTGTAGAGTAATCACCAAAGCATAATACAAACAGATACATAGCCAAAAAGTTAAGAGAGGGATTAAAATGAAATACTAAAAAAGACTCAACCCAAAACAAAGAACAAAGAACACATAGACCAAATAGAATACGAGACAAATTCAAATATATCAATAAGTGTATTAAATATAAATGCACTGAACACTCCGCTAGACACTGCAATTAAAAAGTGATATTATATTGGATTTTTATAAAATAACACTTAACTATATGCTGTTTACAAAAGATGTACTTTAAATGTAAAGAAATGGACAGGTTTAAAGTAAAATAATGAAAAAACACACCATGTAAACACTAAGCATAAGAAATCTGTTGTAAAAGCCAAAATTGACAAATGGGATCTAATTAAACTCAAGAGCTTCTGCACAGCAAGAGAAACTACCATCAGAGTGAACAGGCAACCTACAAAATGGGAGAAAATTTTCACAACCTACTCATCTGACAAAGGGCTAATATCCAGAATCTACAATGAACTCAAACAAATTTACAAGAAAAAAACAAACAACCCCATCAAAAAGTGGGTGAAGGACATGAAAAGACACTTCTCAAAAGAAGACATTTATGCAGCCAAAAAACACATGAAAAAATGCTCACCATCACTGGCCATCATAGAAATGCAAATCAAAACCACAATGAGATACCATCTCACACCAGTTAGAATGGCAATCATTAAAAAGTCAGGAAACAACAGGTGCTGGAGAGGATGTGGAGAAATAGGAACACTTTGACACTGTTGGTGGGACTGTAAACTAGTTCAACCATTGTGGAAGTCAGTGTGGTGATTCCTCAGGGATCTAGAACTAGAAATACCATTTGACCCAGCCATCCCATTACTGGGGATATACCCAAAGGACTATAAATCATGCTGCTATAAAGACACATGCACATGTATGTTTATTGAGGCACTATTCACAATAGCAAAGACTTGGAACCAACCCAAATGTCCAACAATGATAGACTGGATTAAGAAAATGTGGCACATATACACCATGGAATTCTATGCAGCCATAAAAAATGATGAGTTCATGTCCTTTGTAGGGACATGGATGAAATTGGAAATCATCATTCTCAGTAAACTATCGCAAGAACAAAAACCAAACACCACATATTCTCACTCATAGGTGGGAATTGAACAATGAGAACACATGGACACAGGAAGGGGAACATCACACTCTGGGGACTGTTGTGGGGTGGGAGGAGTGGGGAGGGATAGCTTTAGGAGATATACCTAATGCTAAATGACGAGTTAATGGGTGCAGCACACCAGCATGGCACATGTATACATATGTAACTAACCTGCACATTGTGCACATGTACCCTAAAACTTAAAATATAATAATAATAAAATAAAATAAAATAAAGAAATAGAAAAAAAAAGAAATCTGTTGTGACTCCGTTAAGATTAAACGAAGTGAACTTCATGGTAAGGAGTATTAACAGAGATTTAAGAGGAAGACATCATTCCAAAATGTATATGTATCATACAACAGAGTTTCAAATGACACTAAGCAAAATTTAACAAAACTAAAAGTGGGAAATACATGAATCCATTTACATAGATGATTACTTAATTAGCCTACTAAAAGCTTAACTATCTATATGCTTACTGATAAGGTTGGCCACCTTCTATGAGGTTCTGATGCCAAAGTTTCCATAGCTCCTTACCATGTAAGTAAAATACTACAGCATTTAAAGTAGAGAGAGAATATGAAAATAGAACTAAAGTATATATCCTACTAATTGCTTGGGCAGAGGTGATACCTTTCTCTGTAAAAAGTCTCTATCTCATACAGATACAACCTCTAAGAGCTTAAACATCTTAAAAATCAAGTTTAATGAAATACCTCCAGTTTTTTTTAGTTCTTAGGATAAACCGATGTCATTTTTTAGCAATTCTTAAATATACAAGCATCATAACTATTTGAATCAGAGTCTACATAAAACATCTTTTAAATCAGCCTTTTTTCCCCTCCTTTCCAGAATCTAACACACAATTACCACTGTTTTATACTAGCATATTATATCTTGTTTTTAATTTGGAATAACGTATCTTTCAACCCTATTTACTTTATCTAATTTGTTAAGAACATCAGTATCATCAAACTAATTATGAGAGGCAAATGGCTTAACATAAAATTAATGTTCCTAAGCCCCCCCAAGTTAGTTATTATTTAAAGTCACCAATTCTTTTTCTTCATGTGTAATTACTTTTAGATGTATTAACGGAGATGATTAACAATAAGTAAAAGAATAAATTTATGAAATTGATTCATGTGTTCTACTTTTCAGTATCATTAAATATTTCTGAGTCTCTCCAAAGCTGAAAGGACCATTATGCAGACAATGTTCTGACAGATAGCAACCAAGACATCCCAAGGCGAAACTGTCTTCAGACTCATCTTTCTAACCTTTTTTTCCCATTTTTGACACTCCTGCTACACTCATTCTTTCCCTCAAAATCCCAAGTTCCTCCACAGTCATTGTTGTTTAATGAAGTACATGTCAGCCAGAGAAGAGAAAAAGCAATATTCTGTAGGCTGAGTTCTGGTGGTACAGAGAGCATCAGTTTTCCATTCCGGGTAGAGGATCTAGAGAATGGCTGCACTTCCTGATCAAAATTTTCCCTTTATAAAGAGTTTGTACCTAGCACATTCCAACACATCCACAGAGAGGTAAAGTCCAGTTCCTCAACTCTGTGTCAGCTATTTGACTATGACAGGTTCTTCAACCCATCATTTGTAAAATGGTAATATCTGAGCTAATTCACCCGTGCTTGATTGAAGCTAACAAGAGTTAACTGCTTACTCAAGAGGAAAAGATCATAGAATGTAAAAATTGTATTACATGGCAAAAGAAATTATTATAAAATTCTATTACATGAAAAGTTTAAGGTCATAGTAATATAACTCAGATTTATGCCACTCAGTAACCATTAAGATAATTTTCTGTGCCTTCTCTTTGTTCAGTTTTGATGTTGTGGAAGAAGTATAAACTGCAGAGTCAGCCAGACCTGGGTTTGAAGCCCAATTCTGACAAACCTACATTGTCATATTATAAAACAAGAATAATAATCCCAAACTTCCAAAGTTGTTCCAAGGATGACATAAAGTTATACATGTGAAGTGTCTAACTAATGGTCTGGTTTATAGTAGGTTCTTAATAAATAATCATTTCCAATATTCTTTTCATTTATTTAGCTTCACCAACTATAATGTAGGTTAAAAACAATAATTATATATTGGTCTTCTTAGTCATCTTTAAATATCTCAGTCTTAGCCTTCTTTAAATACTCCCTTAGAACCTGTAAAGTTGCCAAGACCACAATTAGCATGAAATAAATTCCAGGGGAGAAATAAATGGAAAAGGAGAGACAACAAAGACATTGATCTAGAAAACTAATTTGCTTTAAGGTAATGGTCATTAGAAGATGAAGGCCTGAGAACAAAAGCTGGGGCAAGAAGAAGGGGGAAAGTCCAGAAGACTTATTTTTGGTTCTAATTTTTTTTAATAGAACTGAAAAATTCAATTTCTTGGCTTTTTATTGTTATTGATACAGACATTTAACATCTTTATCATGGCCTGATACTTTATTTACATAAAATATAACTCATTTTTTGTTTCAAACAAAACAGTCCTGGGTAAACACCAAGGAAAATATTCCCTATGCTCTCCCTAAATCAATTCCTTATTTCCATTACCTGAGGCAGAGTTCTGAGTCGGCTAAAACTGGGACTGACCCAAGGTGACATTTCTCACTTTGTCAAGGTAAAAGTCTCATTAGGAAGCAGATGCATCAGCATATTGAACCTCCAGTTAGCCATTAGCAGCATTATGAAGTGCTCTGACTAGCATTCAGAAAAATTATATACTTTTCAAATGATAGATCACATAAACCGAGCCATTATCCCACCTTGCCAAAACAACTCACTAAAAATGAAGAAATCGACCAAATTGGTAATTTGGTGTAATTAAGGGCATACTCCTTCTACCCTCCAACGTCCAAAATAAATAATCACTTAACTGAATTCAACCACCTTTTAATGAATTAATTGGATGCACTAATTTTGCATTTAGAATCACTCTTGGTAAACTTATCTGGGAACTTCAAGGAAAGAAATAGAAAATCCATAAATTCCTTGGAAAACATGTCAAGTTCTTGTGTTTCTAGTCTACATTAATCCCCCATAAAGTGATTGAATGTATTGAAGAAGCTATCAGAATAATATGTTTCCTAAAAATTATCATTTTCATGACTGTGGATATTTCAAGTGAATGATTTTTAAGCTTAAATTATCCTGATAATTGCCTCAAAGACACATTTTGCTTTTCAAAAAGATACAGAAGTTCATCCTAGCATGTAGCTTAAATTCAATCTATTGATATTTGCCTGTTTTTTCTTCTCTTTAGAAAACTAAAGAAATGCTATTTTCTAACATATTTAGCTGGAGATATAACTTTGTATATGATCTAAGATTTCCAAGAAACTAGCCAATCAATTAAATTTCTTGTTACTTGTAACACATGGAGTATTTATTTAGGTAGAATTCTTCAGATCCTAAAATCAATGATTTTTTTCCTAGAATTATTTAACCAGGAATGTCCATATGTCCATGCTAGCTACCATGGTCTGATTTCTATAGTATTTAAAAAAAAAAAAAAAAAAAAAAAAAAAACCATGCTGGGGTTTCAGTATTTTTGTTCCCTCCAAAGTTTTAATGGGTTTTCAAAGGAAAAGAAAATCCTCTTCCCTTTTTGGGTCCTTTCCTGATCCAGGAGAGATTAACTAACAGTCTTTTAGGGTCTGATCAGAGACATTTACCATCTGTTTTTCTTTGAAGCCTGCTACCTGGAGGCTTCATCTACATAACAAAAACCTAGGCCTAGGCTTCCACAACCACCCTTATCTTAACTAGATTTTTTTTCCGCTGACTTCAACTCTTCAGGCAGAGTTTAGCCCTTTCAAAAAATTTTCAATCAGGAAATCTTTAAATCCACCTATGACCTGAAAGTTATCTCCAACCCTCACCCCCCTCCACCCCTCCCACCCTAACCCACACGCAGCTACCTGGCTTCAAGATGTCCCGTTTTCCAGGCTGAACCAATGTACACCTAACATCTATTGATTTATGTCTCTGCCTGTAACTTCTTTTCCCCTAAAATGTATAAAATCAAGCTGTAACCAGACCACCTTGGGCACACTTTTCAGGATGTCTTGGGGCTATGTCATGGGTAATGGCGCTCACATTTGGCTCAGAATAAACCTCTTCAAGTATTTTACATAGTTTGACTCTTTTTTGTCCACAGTAATGAGGATTCCACTCTTATAAATTGATTAATGTATTTATTAAAAGGGCTGGCAGATGTGGGTTTGTCAGAGGCATTTGAACCAGAGCAACTCCATCTTAAATAGGAGCTGGGTAAAATGAGGCTGAGATCTGCTGGGCTGCATTCCCAGATGGTTAAAGACATTGTAAGCTACAGGATGAAATAGAAAGTCAGAACAAGATACAGGTCATAAAGACCTTTCTGGTAAAACAGGCTGTAGTAAAAAAACTGGCCAAAACCCACCAAAACCAAGATGGTGGTGATGAGAGTGACCTCTCTCGTCCTCACTGCTACACTCCCACCAGCGCCATGACAGTTTACAAATGCCATGGCAACATCAGGAAGTTACATAATATGGTCTAAAAGGAGGAGGAGGCATGAATAATCTACCCCTTGTTTAGCATATCATCAAGAAACAACCATAAAAATGGGCAAACAGCAGCCCTCAGGGCTGCTCTGTCTATGGAGTAGCCATTCTTTTGTTCCTTTACTTTCTTAATAAATTTGCTTTCACCTCACTCTACAGACTTCCCCTGAATTCTTTCTTGTGCAAGATTGAAGAACCCTCTCTTGGGGTATGGATCTGGACCCCTTTGCTGTAACAGGTTTGCTCTCTTGCTTGCTTTGCCCTTCTGCCTTCTGCCACATAATGACATGGCAAGAAGGCCCTCACCACATGACCTTGTTTTGAGCTTGGACTCCCAGCCTCCAGAACTCTGAGGAAATAATTTTCCATTCTTTATAAATTACCCAGTCTCAGGTATTTTGTTATAGCAGCACAAAAAGACTAAGACAAACCAATAACACAAAAATGCCTAAAATTGCATAACTACAGTTTTATTCTTTAGTTTAAAAAAAAAATACTATTAAAAGGCAAATGTCTTTGGGGAGATAATTCTTTGAATTAGTAGTTTCAAATTTATCAAGCCTAATATTTACCTGGAAAGTTTTATAACATGCAGATTTCCAAGCTCTATCTCCTGATATCCCAATAGAGTAAGGCTGGGAATCTACATTTTTAGCATGCCTCTGAAATAACTCCAACTGCACTTTGAAAAACCAGCTATAGTATAATTTTATAATGGATCCATTGTTAATAGTTTGGATGGGAAAATAAGTAGAGTGAGCATGGATCCTCTGGGTTCCTCCAGGGAGGGGAGTAATGGAGTCAGTAAGAACAGACAACAATAAGAATTAGGAGACTGGAGGAATAAATAAGACAAATTTCACTTGTTTCATAAACTTGCCTAGTGCTTGCTACACCTAAAAATAGAGACTATGTCAAAATTCCAGTGGCTCTTTTTTTAATTTTTTTATTGATACATAACATAACATTTGGACAAATTTATGGAGTATGTGTGATATTTGTTAGATGCAGAAAATGTGTAATGATTAAGTCAGGATATTTAGGTTAAGCATCACCTTGAGTATCATTTCTATATTAATGATGGGAACATTTCTTTATATATATATGTGTGTGCATGTGTGTGTATGTGTGTGTATATATATGTGTATATACATATGTGTGTGTGTATATATATATTTTTTTATTTTTTTTAAGTTCCGGGGTACATTTGCAGAATGTGCAGGTTTGTTACATAGGTAAACATGTGTCTTGGTAATTTGCTGCCCTACCAACCAATGATGGGAACATTTCAAGTCTGCTCCTCTAGCTATTTTTAAATATGCAATACTTTGTTGTTAACTATAGTCACCCTGCTCTGCTATCAAACATTAAAACTTGTTCCTTCTATCTAACTGTATATTTGTACCCATTAAACAAACTCTCTTTATCCTTCCCCTCACCCACCCACACACTCTTCCCAGCTTCTGGTATCTATCATTCTACTCTCTACCTCCATGAGATCAACTATTTTTAGCTCCCAAATATGAGTGAGAACGTGTGATATTTGTCTTTCTGTACCTGGCTTGCTTCACTTAATATAATTTTCTCCAGTTCCATTCATATTCTACAAATGACATGATTCATTATTTTTACAGCCTAATAGTATTCCCTTATCTATATATACCACATTTTCTTTATTCATTCATTTTTTGATGAACAATTAGGTTGATTCTACATCTTTGCTATTGTGAATAGATCTGCAATAAATGGGGTTGCAAGTATCTCTTTGATATACTGATTTTCTTCCCAAGTGGCCGACTCTTTTTATTTTTAATTGAAAAGAGGTAGAGAGGAAGGAAGGAGAGAGAGTATGCAAGAGAGAAGAAAACTAGAGGAGCTAAAGACCAAAGCAATGAAGAGGAGGCTCTTGTCTATCTCCCGTCATTGTGTTCCAGCTGGTTCGTTTGTTTGTTTGTTTGATTTTAATTTTTTTATATACTTAAAGTTCTGGGGTACATGTGTAGAACATGCAGGTTTGTTACATAGGTATACATGTGCTATGGTGGTTTGCTGCACCCATCAACCCGTCATCTACATTAGGTATTTCTCCTAATGCTATCCCTCCCCTAGCCCCGCACCCCTTGACAGGCCTTGGTGTGTGATATTCCCCTCCCTGTGTCAATGTGTTCTTATTGTTCAGCTCCCACTTATGAGTGAGAACACGCAGTGTTTGGTTTTCTGTTCTTGGAAACCATCACTTTCAGTAAATTAACCAAGTGGCTGACTCTTAATGCTCAGACACTGTCTCTCATATCACCCCTTCCTTTCAAATTTGAAAACCGAGACATTTCAAGTATCAAACGGTCTGGTACCAAAACATAAGGCTCAGCAAATAAAACCCCAGAATTTATAACAGTTTGGCTCCTTAAATTAGATTTGAATGCCATATATCCTAGAATTCTAAGAAAGCTCCTTGTTTTTGAAGAAAAATATGGATAAACATGGGGACCAAATTTGTGGCCAAGACAGTTTGCAAGTAAGATTTATTTATGAAGAAAACTGAATCTGCCTTATTGTCCTCCAAACATGACAATATTTATAGCACTACTCATGTTCTGCAACTAATAAAAATGACCCGAAAAGATTCTTCACCAAACCTTATATTACTGTAAAATTATCAGAGAAAAGAAAAGCGCAAATCAGTTAAGAAAAGCAGCATTAGACAATAGCCCCAGTGATGCCTGGAACTCAAATATTTCGTTCCTACTGTAGGTAGTTTTGGAAATATCTGTGCTTTGTACATAGGGAGATACCATATATTCCCTGCAGGTAATTGTGAATGATTGCCAAAGTAAAGCATAAATTCAGGAGAAGCTTAGGCTGGTAGGAAGCAAGGACTGTAAATCTGAACTTCCTGACATCTAAGGTTGAATTCTCAGCCCTTGTATCTCATAGATAATTTTACAAGAGAAGGGATTTTTTAAAGCGCCCTTACTAATTAAGTCTTTATCACAATAACACTGTAACTCTCTGGTCTGGCAAATGACTTAACCAAGAATATAACATCAGAGAGACAATAAGAATCTCAGTCAATGGAGCAAGCTTTTTGTGTTTTTTTCTATTGAAGTTGAATGTGCCTTGAAACAGGTGTCAACAGAGCCTTATCATGCATGCGAAGGACCTGTCATTAGCGAGTAAGCCACAACAGTAATATCTACTAGCAGTTCACTTGCTATGGGCAACACTGAAGTTTCTAATAAGAAAAATAAAAACAGCTACCATTTATCAGGCACTTACTACTTGCCAAATACAATAATAAGAGCTTTATTTGATTTAACTAACTTAATCCTTGCCATGTCGCTAGAAGAAAGTGAATGCTTCTTTTTATAGATGAGGACACTGAACCTCTGATGGTTTAAGTAACCCCAGTTAGTCACAAAGTTGGCAAGTGGTATAATTAGGTTTCAAATTTTACTTCAAATTATGCTATACCAATTTTTAACTCTGGTTTTTAAAAAATACTATATTTATTCAATTTAGAGATGCCAATAATTATAAGAATTGTTTAATCGCTTGGGAAGAAGAGATGGAAGTCAAGAAAAATTACCACAATACAAAGACCCATCAACAATTAAAAGCTGCATCTATACCTAACAAACATTCAAATGTGAAATAAAGTATGTCTATTCTTTCTCATTTATTGGACCTTGTTAAAGTACTTAGCTAATGCCCAGGCATCAACCATATGACTGGCCTCATGGATAGGTATATTGTCTGTCTATCTGGAAGGCCCCATGGCTTATTTGTTAACTCAGTCTCTTGGTTCCCAGTGACCTCCCCCACCATTGGTCTTCAGCCATCCTTTCCCACAATTATATCCATAACAGCTCCATCTCCAAAAGTGCTAACTCAGACATACTGTTCTCTGACCTCACCTCTTCTCCATGTAAGTGCTCCTACTTCAACCTCCAGAGCATTGATTTCTCTGCCTTCCCTCAATCTATAAGCCCTCTATTTTCATAACTCTCTTACCTAGCTAAGATTACATTTTACATCACTTCAATAATATCTTGAGATTTTTTTATTACATTCATTTGGCAAAAATCCAACCCTGAATAAATAAATCTGTTTTTTAATTTTTAATTTTTATGGTTACATAGTAGGTGTATATATTCATGGAGTACATGAGATGTTTTGATACAGGCATGCAATGCATAATAATCACATCATGGAGAATGGCATATCCATCCCCTCAAGAGTTTATCCTTTGTGTTACAAACAATACAATTATACTCTTTTAGTTATTTTTAAATGTACAATTAAATTATTATTGACTATGTCACCCTGTTGTTGTATCAAATAGTAGGCCTTATTCATTATTTTAACCATTATCTTGTACCATTAAACATCCCCACCTCCCTCCCACTCCACCCCATCCCACTACTCCTCCCAGCCTTCGGTAACTATCCTTCCATTGTCTTTCTGCATGAGTTCAACTGCTTGATTTTTACATCCCACAAATAAGTGAGAACATTCAACGTTCGTCTTTCTGTGCCTGGCTTATTTACTTAACATAATGATTTCCAGTTCCATCCATGTTGTTGCAAATGACAGGATGTCATTTTTTTAAAATAGCTAAATAGTACTCCATTGTGTATAAGTGCTACATTTTCTTTAGCCATTCATCTGTTGATGGACACTTAGTCGGCTTCCAAATCTTGGCTAGTGTGAACGGTGCTGCAACAAACATGAGAGTGCAGATATCTCTTTGATAGACTGATTTTTCTTTCTTTTGGATATATACACATCAGTGGGGTTGCTAGATTATACAGTAGCTCTATTTTTGTTTTTTTGAGGAACCTCCAAACTGTTCTTCACAGTGGCTGTACTAATTCACAATTGTCCATTTTACCCAACTGAACACCAGTGAATAAACTTTCCCAACAAGGCGAATTAATTCCTCTACAAATTCATGATCACCAAACTCAAAAGCAGTCTCAACTCTGCACATCAGTCTTACAACACTGCATTTCATATGCCTATTTAGGAATTTTTTTGCTCACCTCAAATCACTGAACGCTCCCAACTCAAGCTCCCTCCTTGCTTTCAGCATATGACTCACCTCCTACTTTACAGAGAAATTAGAAGCCATTGGTCAAGGACTCACTCATCCTCCTCATAGCAAATATGCAAATTGGCCACACCTGCCCTTATTTTATCATTCTCGCCTCCAGCCTGCATTCATGCTCCAGTTAAAGATTACACTCCCACCTCTGGATGCCATCTCCTCCCTCTTTCTCAGGGATACTACAGAATACAATAATCTGTTTTGTCTTTTCTGCCTTCCCACTGGATTTTTTCCCAATCTTTTTTTTTTTTTTGAGACAGAGCTCCCATTAAAGAAGACTCACTTTTAATCTTATCCTTCTACTCTCCTTGGAGAGTTGGAAAGTCAGGCTCTCAAAATAATTGTTAGTATTTGCTGTCCCTATTTTCTCTTCTTCCACTTACTGCTCAAACTACTCCAATCTGGCTTCTACTCCCATTGCTACATAGAAACATCCCTCACAAAGGTCATATAACCACATGTTCTTATTTTCTAGGCCTTCAAGCATCATTAAACTTCCTCCTTATCAAAACACTGTCCCTTTGACTAATAAGACACATAGCTTTTTAGTTTTTCTCCTAACACTCTGACCATCTCTTTTCTATTTTCTTTTCAGATTCACCCTTCTCTTCCTAACCATAAAATATCAGAGTTGCTCAAGGATACATCTCAGGCCCTTTCTCTTTTTACTTGACATTTTCTCTTTAGGCGATCTCATTCAAGTGTGTGGCTTTAATTACAACTACATGCATACAGATTCATTATCTTATTTCTCCACTCCCAAAAATCTTTCTTCTGAGTCCCAGACTGTATGTCGACTATCAACTAGACATCCCCAAAGCAACTCAGACTCAGCTTGTTCCAAGTTAAGTTCATGATACGTTCTCAGTAATGTTTGTGGAATAAATGCACAGAAATGGCAATACCAACACAAAAATTCTATCAGTGTAGGAAAACTAAATCCAGAAGAGAGACAGCATTTTGGAAAAATCAGTTGTGAAAGCAGCAAATATCTGTGTACAGAAGAGAGTCTACAGACTAAATTGAGTAGATACAAACCTCAATTTTAATGAAAACAATAAACTGATGATAAAAATAATGGAGGTGAGGAAAAGGGGTATTGAATGACTAAAAAAGAGACTGAACCTGGACAAAGTAACAGTCCCCAACTGAAGATGGAACAACTTACTGACATTCATCTGTTAATAATCAAGAGTGAATATCGAATTAATGTCAATTAATTAATACCGGCATTCTATATATTGATTAAAAACCATTTACCTCATGTAGCGTCTTCTTAAAAATTAGTACAGCTTCCTCCTTCCCCCTTCCCTGTCTCTAATATCTGTTGAAAGTGACCAGTATGGTTATGGGCCAAGCCAAGAAGGCAGCCAGGAAAAGGGGTATTCCTTCCAGTATCAAGAGTTTGTGTACATGCAGGAAAATTTATCTAACAAATGAGTGTATCAGGAATACTAGGAGCAAAGTATTTCATTGTCAAAGAAGCGAATTACAAATATGGAAAGGGATAGTCTAGAATAATCCCTCTGATGTTGCATTGGAATTGGAGGAACAAAAGTGTACTCACAGTTTTTAATACACATAGAAAGATATCAAAATAAATATAGATATAAATACATATTATGTATATACATATTCTAATGTGTGCCTAAATTTAAAAACTGCTGATTCCCTCATACACACACTCACACATACACACATACACACACACACATTTATCAGTGGATTGGGAGTTTTTAAAGATAAATGTGCATCGCCAGAATCACTTGGAGAGCTTTTTAAAACACAAATTAAATTACTGCCCCCCACCCTCCCCCAGCCGCCAGAGTTTCTGATTCAGTGTGTCTGGGGTGGAGTCCAAGGACTTTCATTTCTAATAAGTTCCTAGGTAATGTGGATTTAGCTGATCAAGGGACAACACAAACCACTGAATAAAGGCAAACACACAGTGTGTGTGTGTGTGTGTGTGTGTGTGTGTGTGTGTGTGTGTATTCCCAAGCTCTATCCTGGAAGAGGTCAAGAAGCAGTGATAGCCCAGTGGCAATAGCATGTCTGGCACCTGTATCATGGTTTTTAAAAACCATTCACTACTGAAAGGAATGAAGGCTCCTTTAAGAAATGGCTGATTCTGGAGCTGGAGCAAGAAAAGCAAGAACTGAACCTGGAACATCCTTTTCTGGAAAAAGTAAGGAAGTGCTCTAAGAATGACGGAACATGGCAAAATCACACACAAGCCAGCTTAAAGGAGCTCCTGCTGGCCAAATCTGGGACAATTTGAACATCAAAATAAATAATGGTAGTAACTTGGCCAGGTGCAGTGGCTCATGCCTGTAATCCCAGCACTTTGGGAGGCCAAGGTGGGCAGATCAAGCTGAAATCAGTTCAAGACCAGCCTGGCCAACATGGTGAAACCCTGTCTCTACTAAAAATACAAAAAAAAAAATAGCTGAGCATGGTAGTGTGCACCTATACTCCCAGCTACTCAGGAGGCTGAGGCAGGAGAATTTCTTGAACCAGGAGGTGGAGGTTGCAGTGAGCCAAGATCACACCACTGCCCTCCAGCCTGGGTGATGGAGCAAGACTCCATCTCAAAATAAATAAATATATTAATTAATTAAAATAAATAATGGAAGCAACTGGTCATAACCTATTGAAAACATATTCAATAAAGTAGGAACCCATGAATATATACTGATATAGTGTAGGCTCATAGTAGAATCCAAGTTAATATTGCTTATTTATTAACAAATAATAAATAAGTATTAATTCACTTTATAATGAAGAGACCCCAAAAATACCATCTTGTGTGTGTAAATTTGGGGGGTACAAATGCAGTTTTTTTACATGGATATATTTTATAGTGTAAAGTCTAGGCTTTTAGTGTAACCATCACTCAAATATTGTATGTTTTGTACCCATTCTGTAATTTCTTATCCCTCACCCCCTCCCACCCTCCTACCCTTCTAAGTCCCCAATGTCTATTCTTCCACATTCTATGTCATTGTGTACACATTCTTTAGCTCTCACTTAAAAGTAAGAACACACGTATTTGACTTTCTCTTTCTGAGTTATTTCACTTAAGATAATAGCCTCCAGTTCCATCCATATTCCTGCAAAAGACATGATTTCATTCCTTTTTGTGGCTGAGTAGTATTTTATTGTGTGTATATCTGTATATCACATTTTCTTTATCCAATCATCTGTTGATGAACACTTAGGTTGATTCCATATCTTTGCTATTGTGAATAGTGCTGCTATAAATATATGGGTGTAGGTATGGAAACCATCTCAACCAAAAGATAAAAGTTAACATCACCAGAAATGTGATGTGTGTCTCCTGAAATGGTGCAGAATACAGCATCATATTTGAAGTGTTCCTGACAAACATGCATGATCTCATTCATGAGGAAATATCAGATAAACCCAAGTTGAAAAACATTCTATAATGTAACTGACCTATACTCTTCAGAAAAGTCAAAACCATGATAAGGAAAGACTGCTGGACTGTTCCAAATTGAAGAAGACTTAAAGAGACATTATAACTGAATGAAATTTATAAATCTGGAGTATATCCTGGACATCATTAGGACAACTGGAAAAAGTTCAATGAATTCTGTGAATTAGTAACAACGTATCAATGTAACTTCCGATTTTGATGGCTGTACTGTGGTTATATAGAATTGTCTTTGAATGAAATATGTTCTAAAGTATTTAGAGGTAACAGGCAGCATGTCTGCAGTTATATCACTCAGGGCTCTCCAGAGAGACAGAACTAATAGGATATAAGTATATAGGAAAGGGAGATTATTAGGGAGAATTAACTCACATGATCACAAGGTAAAGTCCCACAATAGACCGTCTGCAAGCTCAGGAGGTAGGAAGCCAGCAGTGGTTCAGTCCAAGTCCAAAAGCCTCAGAAGTAGGGAAGTCAACAGTGCAGCCCTCAGTCTGTGGCTGAAGGCCCAAGAGCCCCCTGCAAACCCCCTCATGTAAGTTCAAGAGTACAAAGGCCAAAGAATCTGGAGTCTGAGCATCCAGTGTGGGAGAAAGATGAAAGCCAGAAGACTGAGCAGGCCAGCTTATCTCACCTTCTTCCACCTGCTTTATTGTAGCCGTGCTGGCAGCTGATTGGATGCTGTCCACCCATATTGAAGGTGGGTCTTCCTCTCCCAGTCCACTGACTCAAATGTTAATCTCCTCTGGCAACACCCTCACAGACACACCCAGAAACAATACTTTACCAGCTATCCAGGCATCCTCCAATCCAATCAAGTTGACACCTAATATTAACCATCACAGGGGCTTACTCTCAAATAGTTCAAGGAAAAAAAAATAGTAATAATATGTAGTGTATATGCATTTACAGAGAACCAGAATGATAAATCAAATGCAAAAATGACAAGAGTTGTGAATCTGAATGAGGGGCATACCAGAGTTCTTTACGACCTTTCTGCAGTTTAAAATTATTTTTAAAAACCAAAATTAAAACAGCCTACCAAATT
Source organism: Homo sapiens (assembly GCF_000001405.40). Lineage (NCBI taxonomy): Eukaryota > Metazoa > Chordata > Mammalia > Primates > Hominidae > Homo > Homo sapiens. The sequence continues at coordinate 54,080,375 of NC_000018.10, forward strand.
GATATGAATAGAAATGTTAACTTCCAGTTAATTCCAAACTTACAGTTCTGTTCTTGACCAGATTGTATTGAAAGACACTTTAAGAGGCAGAATAGGGTTGGTGTGTGACCTTGACATTTCATAGGTGTGAGTTTTAAGCAGAATCCTAATGAAAACTTAATTTCTTTTAATCATGGGCTGATCTCTTCATACCTAGATTTATTTTCAGGCAAAACCGTAATGGTGTTATTGTCATTAACATTTAAATGCTTACCCTTTTCAACTCTGAATCATAATTTGGAAGAATTTTTGGACAGTTTTTTCCTTATTAACAGTTTAGTTTCGTAGCAGAACGTGAAACATGTTACATGCAGATATCATTTCCACTATAAACAGAGAAATACCTAATCTTCTCTCATTTTTGGCAATGTTTTCATTTAGATTTTTCTTTCCCTTTTCCTTTTCTTTCATCCTTTGAGGAGAAATAAATATGTTGCTGAAAAACAACCAAAAAATGCATATGCTGCCAACTCCTATGTATTCTGATGATTTGCTAGAGTTTTTTCCTAATCATGTAGACAAATTTGTTCTTTCCTTTGCCAAAATACAGGTTTATTATGACTTGTAATGTAGTAACTTTCCTCAAAAAAAAATTTTTACAGCCTTACCCAACCATACATCTTTATGTACCGAGCAACAACATGAATCACTGTCTAGGGAGTCACTGCATAAATAGAGATGTTAACATACTGGGTCACAGATAAAATTGACTTAAACGTTTCTTTGATCTGCCTTTTAAATCCTCCTCTCTTTCTTGTGCCCTTGTGTCTGTAGATCACATTTCTATAAATTTCACATCATAGCATATTTTCAGAAATAAAATGTGCAGATGTATAATTGTAGTTTACTGGAATAGCATCTCAGCTGGGAGTATTCTTTTGTGGTTGTTGTTATTACTATCCTTAAGCTAATACCATTTAACACTTACATGGTATTTAAAACATGCCGAACCGTCTTTATCCCCAAGACATCCTCCTTCTCCTGTGTCCCCAGTCTCAGCAAGACTTTCTAGACAATTATCCATAAAGAAACTTGAGAGTCATATACATTTCCTTCCTCCCTTTCCATCCCCATGTAATAAACGTTAACTTGGGTTGATCCTGATGATATGGTTTGGCTGTGTCCCCACCCATATCGCATCTTGAATTGTAGTTCCTATAATCTCCACATGTCATGGGAGGGACGAAATGGGAGGTAATTGAAACATGGGGATGGTTTCCCCCATGCTATTCTTGTGATAGTAAGTTCTCATGAGATCTGATGGTTTATAAGGGGCTTCCCCCTTTGCTTGGCTCTCATGTTTCTCTTGCATGCTGCCATGTGAAGCAGGACCTCTTTGCTTCCCCTTCTGCCATAATTGTAAGTTTCCTGAGGACTCCCCAGCCCTGTGGAACTGTGAGTCAACTAAACCTCTTTCCTTTATAAATTACCCAGTCAGCACTAATATAGTAAATTTGTACCACAGAGGATAGGTTGCTGCTCTAAACATACCCAAAAATGTGGGAGCAACTTTGGAACTGGGTACCAGACAGAGGTTGGAACAGTTTCGACAGCTCAGAAGAAAACAGGAAAATGTAAGAAAGTCTGGAACTTCCTAGAGACTTGGAGGGCTCAGAAGACAGGAAGACGTGGGAAAGTTTGGAACTTCCTAGAGACTTCTTGAATGGCTTTGACCAAAATGCTGATAGTGATATGGACAATGAAGTCCAGGCTGAGATGGTCTCTGTTGGAGATGAGGAAATTGTTGGGAACTGGAGTAAAAGTCACTCTTGCTATGCAAAGAAACCAGTGGCATTTTGCCCCCACCCTAGAGATCTGTGGAAATTTGAACTTGAGAGAGATGATTTAGGGTATCTGGTTGAAGAAATTTCTAAGGAGCAAAGTGTTCAAGAAATTACTTGGGTGCTGTTAAAATCATTCAGTTTTATGTATTCACAAAGATATAGTTTGGAATTGGAGCTTATGTTTAAAAGAGAAGCAGAGCATAAAAGTTCAGAAAATTTGCAGCCTGATGATGTGATAGAAAAGAAAAACCCATTTTCTGAGGAGAAATTCAAGCTGGCTGCAGATATTTGCATACAAAGTGAGGAGCCAAATGTTATTCATCATGACAATAGGAAAAATGTCTCCAGGGCATGTCAGAGGTCTTCACAGCAGCCCTTCCCATCACGGGTTCAGAGGCCTTGAAGGAAAAAATGGTTTCGTGGACTGCCTGGGGCCTTGCTACTTTGTGCAGTCTTGGGACTTGGTACCCTGTGTCCCAGCCATGGGCAAAAGGGGCCAACATAGAGCTCAGGCTATTGCTTCAGATGGTGTAAGCCCCAAGCTTTGGTGGTTTACATGTGGTGTTGGGCCTGCAGGTGCACAGAAGTCAAGAATTGGGGTTTGGGAAGTTCCACCTAGATTTCAGAGGACATATGGGCATGCCTGGATGTTCAGGCAGAAGTTTTCTGCAGGGGTGGAGCCCTCATTGAGAATCTCTACCAGTGCAGTGCAGAAGGGAAATGTGGGATTGGAGCCTCCACACAGAGTCCCCACTGGGACACTGCCTAGTGGAGCTGTGAGAAGAGGGCCACCATACTCCAGACCCCAGAATGGTAGATCCACCAGCAGCTTGCACCATTTTTGTGCCTGGAAAAAGCCACACACACTCAATGCCAGCCCATGAAAGCAAACAGGAGGTGGGATGTACCCTGCAAAGCAACAGGGGTGGAGCTGCCCAAGGCCATGGGAGCCCACCTCTTGCATCTGCATGACTCCATGTGAGCATTTTGGAACTTTAAGGTTTAGTGACTGCCCTATTGAATTCTGGACTTGCATGAGGCCTGTAGCCCCTTTTTTTGGCTAATTTTTCCCATTTGGAACAGGTGTGACCCATGCCTATACCCCCATTGTATCTAGGAAGTAACTAACTTGCTTCTGATTCTACAGGCTCATAGGCAGAAAGAACTTGTCTTCTGTCAGGTAAGACTTTGAACTTGGACTTTTGAGTTAATGCTGGAATGAGTTAAGACTTTGGGGGTCTGTTGGAAGGACATGATTGTGTTTTGAAATGCGAGGACATGAGATTTGTGAGGGGCCAGGGGTGGAATGATATGGGTGTCCTCACCCAAATCTCATCTTGAATTGTAGTTCTCATAATCCCCGCATGTCATGGGAGACCTTATGGGAGGTAATTGAATCATGGGTTGGTTTCCCGCAAACTATTTTCGTAATAGTAAGTTCTCATAAGGTCTGGTGGTTTTATAAGGGGCTTCCCCCTTCATTCAGCTCTCATTCTTCTGTCTCCTGCAGCCCTGGGAAGAGGTGCCTTCCGCCATGATTGTAAGTTACCTGAGGCCTCCCCAGCCATGCAGAACTGTAAGTCAATTAAACTTTTTTTCTTTATAAATTACCCAGTCTTGGGCAGTTCTTTATAGCAGCATGAGAACGGACTAATACACCTGCCTTCACAACAGCTCTCTTATCCACCCCTCTGTATTCCCATTGCCCTGACTTGTTTCAGACATGCAACCTTTCACTCCTGCCTTAGTCACATGTCTCCTCTCCCCTCCAGCTCCCTGCACAGCCCCCACCCACCCACACAGCAATCAGATTTATAACAGTCTGACAATCACATCTCTCTTTTACTTAAACCTTTAAAGGATTCCCTTTCCCTACAAACTACATACACTCCTTACCTGATCTAATTTTATTTCCATCTTCCTCTCCAGTCCTGGTTCTTGCTGTATGTAATCTTAGACCCTATACCCTTGACTTCAGTAATAATGAACACCTTACCTTTTCTTGAATATGTTCTAGTTCTATGCTTACATTAATCTCTTTGCAATATCTTTATTCCTTATCACAAACTCAGTCCACTTATGTAGTTCTCAGTATCTATTTTATTTTACTGCACCTATAAGGTAGTAATTGTCTTACCACCACTTTTAAATCCCTAATACCCACAACAGTACCTGGCATACATTAGTCATTCAACACATAGATGCCAAATTACTAAATTCTGTATTTAAAAGTCCAAACTAGATGCTTTCTACATGACACCAATCCCAGTGGAAAATATATAGTGGCCATGTTAGGATACTAGAGATGTCCAGTCAAGGAAATAACAAGACACTTCAGCCAGGAGTCAGGACACTCAGGAAAACAGTTGAGAAATTTTAACTCAGGGACAGAAATTTAGAAAGGATTTTACCAGGCAATAAAACTAATGAGAAAGCAAATGAAACTAGAAAGTAAGATACATGCAAAAGACAAAGGCCAAAAGATCACACCAATCTGGAAGTATTGCCTGGACAAAGAAGAATTTGGAACATACAGGACACAGACCAAGCATGGAACAGAGCTGGGAACTCTATGAAGTCAAGAACCAGGAAATTGATGGGAGGAGCTGGCCAGAGGCATCCAAAAGAACAGAAAGCTTAAGGAAAAAAGCTCCTTTTTGGGTGGTGGTGCAAAGCAGTCAACGCCGCCCAATGCCTTGACTCAAACATATTTCACCTTGGCCAGGTGCAGTGGTACATGCCTGTAATCCCAGCACTTTGGGAGGCAAAGACTGGAGGATCACTTGAGGCCAGGAGTTTGAGACTAGCCTAGGCAACATAGCAAGACCCTTATCTCTACAAAAAAATTAAAACTTAGCCAGGAGTGGCAGTATGTGCCTGTAGTCTCAGCTACACAGTAGGCTGAAGCAGGAGGATGGTTTGAGCCCAGGAGATCAAGGTTACAGTGAGCTATGATTGTACCACTGCGCTCCAGCTTGGGCAACAGAGCAAGACCCTGTCTCTAAAAAAAATAAAAAATATAAAAGCACTTCACCTTCATGCAATCAGGGAGCTAAATTACCTTCAATATGAGCATCTTCACCTTTGAAAACTCTTCATGCTTCAAAGACTTGGTTTTTGTAAGTATAAGGTTATTCAATACCAATTCTAGTGAATGAGATGGGTGACCAAATTCACAGAAACACTTTTGGTCAGAAACAAGGTATGATCATGAAGTAATAAGATTGATTTTCCTCTGTAGCTCTGGCTGTAAAGGGAATCCCAAAAGAATAGTTTTTAAAAACATTTAAACATCTTAAGGTTTAGAACGGCATTACTGAGATGAATGAACAGCCTCTCCCACCTCCCCCAAGGTGACTTCTTCCAAATAAGATAGAGTATACTTGGATACACATTTCAATGTGTTTGCTTAAAAATCAATTGCATTAGGGGCTTTGCCCAGCATGCATACTACAGAGTATTAGCTCCATTGACAGGGGGCAAAAAATAATATTTCTGTGGGCATAGTAGTTTGGGAAATAATGAGTTAAGTAAATTCTCTTTCCTGGCATTCTTTTCCTGGTCTTTTATATGGTGATGCACCTGTGGCTCTTCCCATAGTACTAGGATGCTTATTTGGTGATTTGACCATTTCACAGAGCATCTCACAGGGCCAACCATTCCATGCAACACTCTTTGGTGAAGAGCTTCTAAGGAACAGAGATGAACCATAATCAAATTCTGAATTTTTGGTAAGTTATTTTCCAAAATATAAGTCAAAATGTATAGCAAATTTTATAAAACTTATATAACACATTATTTCCTCATCCAAAAATATTGGGATAATAATGCCTACTTCATATACATATTGATCCTTAAATGAGCTAATGCATTTGGAGCCTCACTGAAAAAGTCAACACTGAGGAACCAGAAAGATGAAAAAGAGAGTGCACATGCATACAAGAGGAAAAAAACACTAACACAAACATGCAAGATAAGTGGAAAGGGAAAAGGAACAGCAGCCAATGCTGTCCCATGCCTAGACCCAAACCCACTTCCTCACAGCAGGGCCAGGAAGCTACACTGCCTGCAATATGAGTATCTTCACCCTTGGAAACTCCTTATTCAGATCAAAGGTTTGGGCATGCTTTTTTTCAGATAGTTGTGGAGATTATAATTCTAGAATTCGACAACTTTTCTAAGCAAAGCCTGTTGAATATAAAGCTGTAGTCAGTGGCTATCTATCAAACATGAGTTGCGGGGTGTATTAGGCCATTCTTGCATTGCTACAAAAAAATGCCTGAGACTAGGTAATTTGTAAGAAAAGAGGTTTAATTGGCTCATTGTTCTGCAGGCTGTACAGGAAGCGTAACATCAGCAACTGCTTCTGGGGAAGCCTCAGGAAGCTATAACGTTGACGCAAGAGTAATTGCGGGTTTTGCTATTGAAACTAAAACCACAATTACTTTTGCACCAACCTAATATACTCATGGTGGAAGGCAAAGGGGGACAAGTGAAACACGTGGTGGAAGCAGGAGCAAGAGTGAGAGAGAGAGAGAGAGAGAGAGTGGCGGGGGGAGGTGCCACACACTTTTAATTGACCAGATCTCTGGAGAACTCACTATCACAAAAACAGCACCAAGCCAAGCCATGAAATTTCTACCCCCATGATCCAAACACCTCCCACCAGGCCCCACTTCCAGCACTGGGGATTACAATTCAACATGAGATTTGGATGGGGACAAATATCCGAACTATAACAAGAGGGAATGAGGAAAGGCCCGCCCAACAAAGCAGGAAACCCCAGGAACCTGCCACTCTACATTTAATGCCTGCTCAGCATTGCAACTGTTCTTTAAAAGGTAATCCACAAGGGAGGGGGAAGTGAGAGTTGTTCAAGGGGTATAGAGTGTCAGTTTTGCAAGATGAAAAAGTTCTAGAGATAAGTTGCCCAACAAGGTACATGTAGTTAACACTACTGTAATGTACACTTCAAAAAGGTTAAAATAGTAAGTTTTCTGTTTTGTGTCTTTTACCACCATAAAAAAAGAAGTTGACTCGCAAGCATCTTCTGGCATGTTCCAGAATGAGCAGAATATGTAACCTGCATTTGAAAAGAAGGAAATTTGGTGGGAAAGAGTAAGAGAGTAGAAGCATGGGTCATTTTCCACCCAGAAGAAAACTTCCATGGAGGGACCTAGGCAGCCAGCAGACCATAGCAGGGTACTGGGTGTGTTGGGGATGAGAAAGTGGAGAGGATGGAAAGGAAATTGAAGGAGAGTGGCTAAGAAATGGTGGGGGTGAATAGATCAGGGCATCTGTCACCCTGTTGATCCAATTGACCTATCTGAGTATGTCTTTACCAAGGCTGTAAAGACTAATTTTCTAATGTTGGAACATCAGTCTTTGATGAAAGATAAAGGAATAGCAATCCCCTGCTTGGACTTCCAAATAAGCTCTCAAGCCCATTTGTTGGAATCCATAGAAGCCACTCACATTTTTGCTTTTATAAGTGCCTACTCTGGTTTTTTGTACACATTAGCTCACTTAATTTAAAAAACACTATTATCATTATTATTATTATTTGCATATGTAGGTAAGGAAACAATATCAGAGATATTAGAAAAATCTCTTCAATATCACTCAAACAACAGGCTGGGGATGGTGGCTCACACCTGTAATCCTAGCACTTTGGGAGGCCAAGGTGGGAAGATCGCTTGAGCCCAGGGGTTTGAGACCAGCCTGGGTCACGTAGTGAAATCTCGTCTCTACAAAAAAAGAAAAAATTTAATTAGCCAGGTGTGGTGGCACATGCCTGTAGTTCCAGCTACTGGGGGTGGAAGTGCAGGGCTGAGGTAGGAGGATCGCTTGAGCCCAGGAGGTTGAGGCTGTAGTGTGCCAAGACCACATCACTACACTCCAGCCTGGGCAACAGAGCAAGACTCTGTCTCAAAATAATTAATAATTATAATAATAATAACAGAGCTGAAAATTAAGTCTAAGTATGTTTGGCAGAAGGCCACAGCTGATTCCATTAATAGACAAATATATTATCATTTGCTGAGAAACATTTGTTGAGTACCTACAATCACAAAGTATGATAAAAAGAAGCTTGTCTTGTAGAAAAAACAAAGAGATATAAATCTAGCTGGGAAGATAAACCATACACCCATAAGAAGATTGGTGCCACAAATTCAAACCAAGAATTGCTCATGGCTGTATCTATTATTTATTGGCACAATAGGCTGCCGAACAAACCACCACAAAATGCAGTGGCTTAAGACAATCAGCATGCAATAGCTTCCAATTGTGCTGAGCAGTGATTTAGACTGGTCCCAGCTGGACTAACAACCCATGCCTAGCAGTAGGCCGAAGTCCAGCTGTTCTAGGATGGCCTCTCCTGGAATGGCTGGGACAGCCTGGCCCCTCTTCATTCCATCCTCCAATCTTTCTCATAGGGGGTAGGGAAAGGAGAGAATCAATACAGAAAATGAAAACACATACATGCTTTTTCAGGCCTCTATATGTCCCATTTGCTGATGCCAGTCATGTGACTGAACTAGGATGGAAGAGAGGGCAATGAGCTCTAGCTCTGTAGTAAAAAAAAAAAAAAAGAAAAAGAAAAAGAAAAAGAAAAAGAAAAGAAAGAAAGGAAAAAAAAACTGCAAGTCACGTGGCAAAGAGCAGAGACCCAGGGAGGATGAAGAATTGAGGTCAGCAGTGCCATCCAAGTCCCGCAAGAGCCAATGGTGGCTGTAACAGAAGGTCTGAGTGCAGTGGGCAGGGTGCTCTTCTGAGCATCTCACATAGTCTTTAAATAATTCTCAAAGCTTTTCTACGTGACAGTGATTACTATCCCCATTTTATAGATGAGGGAACCGAAGTACACAGAGGTTGACCATGTAGCCTCTGTCTGTAAATGGCAGAGCCTAATTTAAACACTGTCATGTCTGACTCCAATGACTTTTTGTTTCAACTTGGACTTCAGAGAAAATTATTTTAAATAATGTTAAAAGGGATGATTTAAAATTTAAAATCTAGTTTGAAAAACATGACATTTTATCAAAATTCCAATCATAAGCTCTATAGTTTCTAAAAAGATATTTTATAGCAATTCTTTAATAATATTTGACAAATGAGTCAAGCCATTGAACACTTATATTAGATATAAGCACATTACCTTATTTGCAAAACTCTTCAGTAGGATTCACAAAAATTATGGTAAACCTAAATTAACACCAATTGTCTTCTGGCCTGGACACTAGGGAATATTTGAGTGTTACATGCTAAACAAGTGACAAAAAGCACCTGAGAGAATGTGCTACCTAGTATGCTTTTACATGTACAAATTCAAGAAAGTATTATAATGTATCTTTTAAAATGAAATTAAAGCTTCTTAAGTGGTCAGAACACCATTGCACTGAATTTAGAAAACCATAAGCAGGACAGTCACAAGCTATGCCATTTGCCAACATGGTCCATTACATTTTGTTCATTACTGCAGTGCATTTACCACGAAGAGCAATAAATCATTGAGAGCTATGGAAAATCTGGCCTCTGAAACAGATGCAGTGGCAAGATTCAGCACAAGACTTGATCAAGATAATCCCCACACAATTAAGAAACTGTAGCTCACTTTTGGCAACAGTACACTTCAATTTCCTTTCCACCTTTTTGTTTCTCATAGCTCCTCACTGTGATACTATCACTTAGTTTGTGTTATATTCCTCTGGTCTACCTAGCAACAGGCGAGGGAGGTGGGAAGAGAGGAAAATCCCAAGAGTCATGCATTACTTGCCTTGTAGGGAGGGCAAAAGCAAGGAAGGGGGTGGAAGGATTTTCAAGAAAGAGATTCTAACACTGGTTCCCTGCTTGGTCATCAGCTTAGGCAACAGGCTTGTTACTATGCCCTGCACTTTAAATAGCAAGATAGAGATAGGTCTGCAGCAGAGCAGCAAGCCCTTGCCAGATTTAGCCAAACAAGGATGGTGACTGTGCCATGGGCAAAGTAGACACTTCAGATGCTAATCAGCTTGAGCAATCTTGTCAGTACCCACCCTAGAGAGCTGTTCATCAGGACAAGACCTCACTGAAAGAGCCTTCAGCAAAGACCACCCACCTTGAGAACTAAACACGCTGACTGTGCATAGCAAGGAACAGTCTGCAGGTGGATCTCACAAAATCCCACTAAATCCTCCTAGGGATTCACACATTTGCCCCAAAGGGGCCAGCATTTGGACACCTGCTACAGAGAGAGCATTGAACAGCAACACCCAACACTGGATTGCAATTCCATACCCAGTTAAGTTAAAAATATGTATCAGTTTTTCTCCTACCATACCCAACCCCAGAAAATCTAGAGGCACAGTAGAGGGAAGAGAGAGAAAGCATGGAACAGCAGACTATGTTCTTTCCCCATTCCAAGCCCTTCACAGCCAGGCCTGGCCCATGCTAGGAGGAGGGGAGACGATAACCTACATTAAGACTGACATTTTAAATTGGCCTAGGCTCGACTGGAGTTGCTAATAACTGAATGTGACTGGAAAGCCATGGGATAAACCTGAGATGTTATGGAGAAATAGAAAAAAGAGATTCAGCAGAGTGTGGTAGAAGGCAATGATTGGAGAAAAATAACACGATTCCTAAATCAGACTCTCCATAAGTCTGTGACTCTTTATCTAGGTCTAAATTTTCTCCTTTGAAAATTGGAATCCTTCCAGTTTTAACATTCCCTAAGAGCCAAGCTCTTTACCTACATGACTGGATTTTTTATGTGACAACTGAATTCTAATTCTAATACAGTTCTAATGCTGTACACAGCGTGTAAAATTGCCACATTCCATCTTCAATTTCAGGTTCTGCTACAGTAAACAAAACCACCAAAATTAGTATTCAAAACCATCAGAAATGAGTAATGAACATTCACCAGTGTTGACATCATCATCATGGACCTCGCCCCCTTGGAGTGGGAGACATTAGTCCAGGTGTCAAAACATGATTAGCTTTAGTTCTGCTTCAGAATAAATTTTCTTAGTTTCTCTAGCTCTTCAACCCAATATATGCAGTCAGGCTTCTGACAGTTGTTTAACAGATGTAGTGAAAGTTCACAATGTTATGTTACACAGTAATAATGCTTCTTGAGTTTTTCTTTTGGGGGTGATTTCAATTTTTCATAGAAGGCAGTAATGAACCATTGGTCTCCCCTTAATAATTAACAAATCACTTGATCATTTCCCTTAGGACTATTTCTGCCTTTATTAAACAGTGACAGCAGAAACTTTGTTCTGAGTTCTAATGGGATCCTTTCGCTGGTAAGAGTGTACAGCTTTTTCGTAAAAGTCAAGCAAATTTACCAATGAATCAAGAACATATATTCATATTTGTGATTAAAAGGAATTCTATATAAAATTATTTTATGAAGTAAGCCATCTCTGGTTTATTTTCTTTCCTGTAAATTCTATTTCCTATTTATTAGACTGGCAAAAAAATTAAGTTCAGCTGACATTTTAAATGTTTTGTTATTATAGGTGGAGCTAAGAAATACCAGCACCTCCACTGCAGAAGGGATTGTTCTGGAAGCAGGCATCTCCCCTGGGCTCTGGGGCAGATGGAACAGAGCACACTGAGAGGATGAGCCTGGATTGTATTTGTTTCCCCAGGCCTGCAACCTAAGGACTGATAAGGAGCTCATGGTAGTTTGGTAGGCAGAGGCCTTTGTTAGCAGACCCGCCTGTGAGCAAACGGTAATTGAAAGGGATGGCCTTATGGTGTAGGACCATTGAAGGGGATGGCCTCATGGCACAAGTGACCTAATAGATCAGCCTTATATACAGGGGAGGTATCAGAGCACTGGGAATCATGTCAAGGGGGATCCCATAGAATATGGGGATAAATGGGCCATTGTTTTTACTCAGCTATTGGCAGGTTGTCTATTATATAGTGTAAAACAATCCAGCTTATAGGATGATCTAAGTTTTCCTTCTCTAAAATTCAAATCTAAATAATACTTGTTATATAAGTGGACCCTGGTTTAATTTCTACCATTTAAGCAGGTGATAACAGATAGACCCTTGCTCTCACTCTGTCTGCCAGGCTGGAGTGCAGTGGCACAATCATGGCTCACGGCAGCCTCAACCTCCCAGGCTCAAGCAATCCTCCCACCTCAGCCTCCCAAGTAGCTGGGACCACAGGCACACACCACCATATCCGGATAACATTATTATATTTTTACTGAATGAGCAGTTTGCCCAGCCCTAAACTCTGGGCCCAAATGCTTATATAATAGTAACTGTGAAAGAAAATATCTGCTTCTCACCTACTGCCGCTGCTGAGAACTGGGCTCACAGGGGCTGGTGTGGCTTGAATGTGTCCCGCAAAAGTTCATGTGTTGGAAGTTTAACCTTCAACACAACAGTGTTGGAAGGTGGGGCCTAATGAGGACAGAGCCCTCATAAATGGATTAATGTCATTCATTATCATGGAAATGGGTTAGTTATTGATAGAGTGGGTTGTTTTAAAGCACGTCTGTTTCTTCCAATTTTTCTAAAATATCAAAATTTTATATATTAGAAAAGCATGTCCAGCCCCTGGTGTCTCTCTTTTTGGCATGTGCTCACTTGTTGTCTCACTTTCCACCATTTGATGACACTGTCCAAAGGCCTTCGCCATATACCAGCCCCTTGATTTTGGACTTTCCTTCCTCCAGAAACATGAGCTAAATAAATTTCTGTTTCTTATAAATTACCCAGACTGTGGTATTCTGTTATAGCAACAAACAGACTAAGACAGAGGCTTAACCCCAGCACTCTCAGGGAAGAATTATCTTAACCATCAAAGGTCAACATAATTAAGAAATCTATATGGGTCAGTGAGTTACAAGCAAATTCCAAACATATAACTATGATAGATAAAATACTCAAAAAATGACATAAGCATGGTTCTATGTTCCTTATTGAAGAAGAGATCAGGCAGAGTAGGGGTTTAAAAAGCATTCCAATCCATACATTACTTGCCACTTAGTGCTATAAGCTCAAAGGATATATTTTCATTCGATACCAGAGGATGTCAGCTCAAGGTTCTCCTCTGAATTTTTCTTTTTTTGAGCATCCCTAAGTCACACTCAAGAGACACCAGACAAGTATTAGCACATCATTTAGACCACGATATTCAAGTGCTACTTTTCAATTAGCATAAGTCTATTAGACCATCCTCACATTGCTATAAAGAAATTGCTATAAAGAAATACCTAAGACTGGATAATTTATCATTAAAAGAGGTTTAATTGGCTCACAGTTCTGCAGGCTGTACAAGAAGCATGATGCTGGCATCTGCTCAGCTTCTGGGGAGGTCTCAGGAAACTTACAATCATGGTGGAAGGCAAAGAGGAAGCAGACCCATCTTACATGGCCGGAGCAGGAGGGACAGAGAGCAAGCAGGGAGGTGCTGCATACTTTTAAACAGCTTAACAACTCACTATCACAAGAGCAGCACCAAGGGGATGGTGCTAACCCATTCATGAGAACTCAACCCCCATGATCCAATCACTTCCCACCAGGTCTCACCTCCCTCACTGGGAATTACAATTCAACATGAGATTTGTTGGGGACACAGATCCAAACCATATCAGTAAGTCAGTCTAAGCAGTTGGGAATCAGGGAGACAGACAAGCAGAAAGAAAGGACACTGTGAAGCCAGAGAAGACCAAAGGGATACTGTTCTTGTAAAGGCTATCTTTTAAATGAGCAAAGGCACCAGCAGAGATTCTAAAAATCATTGTAGCTACCGATGTTCATTAACGGCAAATTATTGTTTCTGGGACTCTGCTAATAGATCACTAAGGCAGTAGCCCTCACTTAGAGATTACGGTTTTGCTCTGGCCTCAACCTTCTGACCTCAGGTGATCCACCCACCTTGGCCTCCCAAAGTGCTAGGATTATAGGCATGAGCCACAGTGCCTGGCCTACCATTTTGCTCTGAATGAAGCAACAACCTCATCAGATGGCCCTCCACCTACCCTGTTTGAGCGATGTGATTCTTGCCTGTCTGGAGTGGTGATGGTTGGGCCTGCCCCAAAGACAAGGGACCAGTCAGCCTCATGGGCTCTCTCACCACCTTAGACTGCTTCCATTGCTATGACCATCCATCTCTACCAAAACATGTGCTCTCTGTGTTATTTAAAATTAATTTTTCAAAGCTTTTCATTGATTTTTCAAAGTGAAACACAAAGAATAAGCAGTAAACCCATCGTTTATTATTGGCAAAGCATATTTAAACTGTCATATCCAATTTCGGTGAAAGCTGCACTTTAGTGGTGTTTGGTATGAGTGCAAACAAAATACAATGACATTTTAGAGCGGAGGGAACATCCTCATTTTACAGATGAGAAAGCCACTATCCACAGGGTAAAGGAGCTCAGGCAAGGAGTGTGGTACAGAACTAGAAATGAAACTTTGGTTTATGCTCCACTTACCCACAAGCCTCTGACACCATTACAGGCTGGCTCCACCTGTTCTCAGGTTAGGCCCACCACCTGCTAGTGGAGATGTTGCTCAGCCTCTTAAGCAACTCCACGTACCCTGAAGCGCATGCTGAGAGCCACAGACTAGGGTCGCTCTCTCTCTCTCCATTTCACTTAGTCATGTTTCCTTAAGACTATAGATGAGCCTCTGAGCTGAGAGTTTCAAGAAGGGGCATCCTTGATCTCAGCCCTCACACCTCATCTGGCCTCACCAGATTTTTCACAACTTTGTGATTTAGCAGTAGCATCATGTATTATTATTTTATTATATTTTCTCTTGACTCTGAAACTCAATGAATATGAATACTCCTCCTATTAGGGCTCATATTCCATAATGGCAGTATTTCTGCAGGCTGCCTCAAGTAACACTCCTCCCAGACTGACCCTATTTCACTTTGTCTGCCTGATTGTCCTGGTGTAACAGTTGGCATTGGCACTTGCCACCATCTAAATGTTTGTGTCCTCCCAAAATTCTCAGAGCCCTCATGAATGGGATTAATGTGCTTATAAAAGAGACCCAAGAGAGCTCTCCCTTTCTACCCCCTTTTTTTTTTGTGAGTCAGAGTCTCACTCTGTTATCCAGGCTGAAGAGCAGTGGTGCAATCTCAGCTCACTGCAACCTCCACCTCCCAAGTTCAAGTGATTCTCATGCCTCAGTCTCCTGAGTAGCTGGGATTACAGGTGTGCACCACAACGCCCAACTAACTTTTATATTTTTAATAGAGATGGGGTTTCTACTAATCTATAGCACCATGTTATCCAGGCTGCTCTGGAACTCCTGGCCTAAAGCAATCCACCCACCTTGGCCTCTCAAAGTTCTGGGATTACAGGCAGGAGCCACTGTGCCTGGCCTCCCTTGCCCTTTCTACCATGTGAAGACACAGCAAAAAGACAATGGTTCATGAACCAGAAAGCAGGCCCTTACCAGACACAGCATCTTCTGGATTCTTGATCTTGGACTTCCCAGACTCTGGGACCATGAAAAATAAATTTCTGTTGTTTATAAGCCACCCAATCTATAGCATTTTGTTATAGTAGACCAAATGGAGTAAGACAGTACCCTACCCAGATCATCTGGGCTGATATACCCATTCCAGCTGCTTGGAGAATTGGAAATTGCCCACTTCTCCAGATAATTGCCTATGATCAGGAGCCACCTCACCCAGGAGGAGAAGGGGAAAGGAGAGGGAGACAGCCCAAAGCCAATGACTGATTGAATGAGCACACAAGGCCAGTTGTTTACCTGAAGGAGAGACAGCAGTGGTGTGTGTTTGATTTATTTTCTTGACCCTTTCTTCTCCCATGGACCATGCCAAGACTAGACTTTCCCTGAGACCACACCCTCACTCAGTTCCTTCCCCTTCCTCTCCTGCTCTCCTCACTCTCTTACAGGTTTTCCTGAAGGTTCTCCCTCACTTGCAGCCAAATCTTGCATTTTGCATCTAGAGAACTCTACATAAGATATCTGGCCTTGGAGGTTAGCTGCGGCCACTCATTGAAGACACTAGCTGCTGTCAGGGTCAACACCTCGACCTACAGAGCCTTGGAGGGATTTTAATTCAAATTCAAATTCTGGGATTTATTAGCTGCTTGAAATTGGTCACATTATTTAACCTTTGTAAGCTTCGATTTCTTCATATCTAAAATTAGATATTAGTAGAAAATTAGGCCAGGTGAAGGGGCTCATGCCTGTAATCCCAGCACTTTGGGAGGTCAAGGTGGGCAGATAACCTGAGGTCAGGAGTTCAAGACCAGCCTGGACAAACTCTGTCTCTACTAAAAATACAAAAATTAACCAAGTGTGGTGGCATGCACCTGTAATCCCAGCTACTTGGCAGGCTGAGGCAGGAGAATCACTTGAACCCAGGAGGCAGAGGTTGCAGTGAGCCAAGATTGCACCATTACACTCCAGCCTGGTGACAGAGCGAGACCCCATCTCAAAAAAAAAAAAGAAAGAAAGAAAGAAAGAAAGAAAAAAGAAAAGAAAATTATTGTGAGAATTAAAAGTTGTAATGCTGCTAAAAGTTTCTAGGCTGGTGCTAAACACATTTCCTCTGATATGTCAACGTTAGTAATAGTAGTAGCTAATGTTCCTTGGGCATCTACTATGTTCCAAGATCTGCATTAAGCATGTTACATTCGTTATTGGATTTAATCCTCACATCAGCCCCTTGAGGTAGGTTCTACTATTACTCCCACTTTAAAGTCAAAGAGACTGAGACTATAACTTGACTAAAGTCTCATATTTAGTAAGTGGTAGAGCTCAGATGTGAAGCCAGGCAGTTGGTGCTGCATTTTGTGCTCAGTAGCATTACATCTGCTTTCTCAGAGCCACATCTTCCCTCTTACTTTCATTCTAAGCCCCTAAACTCTTGCTTCCCTTAAGATGCCCACTTATTTGTAGCACTTGACAATTAAACGCCCACATGCTCTTGGTCTCTATCTCCCAACAGAACTTACCCCTGGGTTCTAACCCCTATGTCCCATTCTGCATTAGTTGACCCTAATGATCCCAAGCTTGCACAGGTATCACATGACTGAAGACAATGATTGTATGTGCACAGATAACCTTTGTGTTTTAAACTTGTCCTTCAATGACATCTCCCCAAGAAGTGCATATACTGTCATAATTTCAGGCATTTTGGTGGGTCAGTAGAAAAAATACATATTTGTTGCCAGGGTGTTTATTCCCAATATTTCACAAATCCTTTCACATTGGTGATTACCACTTTCTCTCTGCAAAACATTCCTAACCAAACCTCTGTCTCAGAGGGATTACACACCTGAACACTGGAGGATCAATTTTCCATTAGCTCAGCTGGACATCTCTCTTTCAGTGATCCCTGCCATCATAAACATATGTATTCCTCTCTTTTAAGGCAGAAAACATGTTTTTATTTCTGAAAAGCACCAGGGTCAGTTTTAGCATCTTCCTTACAAATAGGGGAAAAGAGAGAGAAAGAAAAATGGAAAACAAAAATGAGCTAATATCCTCTCTTTTCTAATATGTCGCATTTTATTTTAGTTCACTTGTGCAAGTATCTAGATTATGCTTAAACAGCAAAGCTTTCTTCTTTTGCAGCCCCTTGCAGACATTTGCATTAGGTAGAGAAAAGAAAGGTTAAGAAAAAGTTCCTCTGAACAAATGAGCCTTTAGATGGGAACTTTCATTAGGCATACAGTTCGTTGAATCTAATCAGAGAGATTCCAAGGAGGGTCACACTTGACCTCAGCCCTCTTCCGCTGGGGTAGATAGTAGGTGTTCAGCTTGGCCCTCGATTTCTGAATGTCAATTAGAGAGGAAATGTCCATAGGACATGCTCACATGGATTATGCATAATGAAATTGGGACTTTAAATCTGTTTTTTTTTCTTTCTTATCCCCACAGGGAACCCAGCAAGTTCCTTAATAATCAGAAAATATGCTTCGCAATTCAAAAAAGTACTACAGGTTCACATTTCTGATATAATGGCTAAAAATCACAGCAAATAAGCCAGAAAACAAGGCTTACAAAGTGAAACAAAAGAAATCAGATAACAAAAGTTAATCACCTTAGATCGCTAACTAAAAAAGAAAAAGCACAGTAGCCTTACACAACAGTATATATAGTTCATGTTGGTTAAAAAAATACACATATATATACACATGCATTTTTTAAAAGATCTAGAAAAATATTCAATAAAGTGTTGCCAGTGATTATCTCTGAGTGGCAGGAAACTATTTGTTATGGTTTGAACTATGTCTCCCAAAAAGATATGTTGAAATTCTAATCCCTAGTACCTCGGAATGTCACCTTATTGAAAACAGGTTCAATGCACATGTGATTAGCTAAGATGAGGTCACACTGGAATCGTCCCTTAAGCCAAGATGAATGCTATCCTTATAAGAAGAGGAGGAAGTCATTCAGGGGAAGGGACCATATGATGGCAGACACACAAGGAGAGGGCCACGTGCTGACAGGCAGGGATTGGGGTGATGCAGCTGCCAGCCAAGGAACTCCAAGTCTTGTTGGCCCCAGGAGAATCTAGAAAGAGGCAAGGAAGGATTCTCCCTTGCATGTTCCAGAGAGCTACCCTGTCGAGGCCTCAGTGTGGGATTCCTGGCCTCCAGGCTGTGAGAAAAGAGATGTCTGTGGTTTTAAGCCACCCAGTTTGTAGCACTTTGTTATGGAAATCCTGATAAAAGAATACAATCATTATTTTCAAAATTTTGCTTGTCTGTAAGTTTCTACTGTCAACGCACATATACTAATTTTGCGTATATGCTAATGCATATATAGTAATTTTGTAATTTTGAAAAGGTCATTAGAATAAAAAAGAAAGAAGAGAGGGAAAGAAGGAAAGAAAAAAGAATGAAGAAAGGAAGAAAAGATGGTGAGAATAAATTCTCTTATTGTTAAGTGAACCACTTTAGATGATCCCACAGGAGGTATTTAATAAAGGAATAATAAAAATCTCATCTGGCTAGGCATGGTGGCTTACGCCTGTAATACCAGCACTTTGGGAGGCTGAGGTGGGCAGATCATGAGGTCAAGAGATCGAGACCATGCTGCCCAACATGGTGATATCCCATCTCTACTAAAAATACAAAAATTAGCTGGGCATGGTGGCACACACCTGTAGTCCCAGCTACTCAGGAGGCTGAGGCAGGAGAATCGCTTGAACCCGGGAGGCGGAGGTTGCGGTGAGCCGAGCTCATGCCACTGCACTCCAGCCTGGCAACAGAGCAAGACTCCATCTAAAAAAAAAAATCACAGCTGACAGGAGCCCTGAGATGCCAGCAGCACAGTTCCTGGGGGCCTCTCTCTATATCCCTTGGTCACTCCATTTGCTGATAAGTAACTATTGTCATACCATCTGCTAAGTTCCTCCAAATACTAGCAAAGTGCCCCTCTGCTGCTGCTCCTAAGCCCTCTCCATTTCACTTCTCAGTACTGTCACCCCAGAGCCCTGCTCTCTGCATTGGATTCTCATGAGGAGCGTGCAACCTAGATCCCCTGCATGCACAGTTCACAATAGGGTTCACACTCCTACGAGAATCTAAAGCCACTGCTGATCTGACAGGAGACAGAGCTCAGGCGGTAATGCTCGCTTGCCCACCAGTCACCTCCTGCTGTGTGGCCCAGTCCCTAACAGGTCACAGACTGATACTGGTCTGCCAGCCCCGGGGTTAGGGAGCCCTGTATTAGTGGTTTGTAAGTGACTCAATATGGAGAGTCTTGCTGGAGTCAGGGGAGAGGGTACTGGGGGGCGTGGAATGAAGCCTCTCACCAGATTTGAAGGATGTGGTGGTTAATATTAGGTGTCAACTTGACTGGGCAGAGGGATGCCTAGATGGCAGAGGAAGCATTGTTCCTGGGTTTGTCTGTGAGGCTGTCACCAGAGGAGATTGACATTTGATTGGGTGGACTGGGAGAGGAACCCCACCCTCAGTGTGGGTGTGCACCATCTAACTGGCTGCCAGTGTGGCTGGGAGAAGGAAGCAGAAGAAGGGGGACAAGCAGCCTGCAGAGTCCGCTCCTGCTTTTTCTCCCACTGCTGGACGCTTCGCTTCCTCTCTTCCTGCCTTGTACCTCAGACTCCAGGTTCTTCTGCCTTTGGACTTGGGGACTTGTACTGGTGGCTTCCCTGGGGTTCTTGGGCCTTTGGCCTCAGACTGAGGGCTGCACTGTTAGTTTCCCTGGTTTTGAGGTTTTCACACTCAGACTGAGCCACTACTGGCTTCTCTCTCTCCTCAGCTTGCAGATGGCCCATCATGGAACTTCATCTTATAACCACATGAGCCAGTTGTCTATGATAAACTCCCTTTCATATTCACATACATTTTATTGGTCAGTCCCTCTGGAGAACCCTGGCTAATACAGAAGGGCTGTGGGCTAGGGAAGGAGCTAAATCCTCCTGATTGCTTAAGTCTGGATTAATTAATTGTTCTATGAGCCCCATGCACTGCCCCATTGCAGCATTGACTTCATGACCCTATAATTCTTTCCATATCCAAACTGAGCCCCTCCCTGGACCGCAAGCTTCATGAGGAAAGGGCCAAGTCCACGGTATTCATCACTGTGTTCCCAGTGCCTAGCTTGGCACTGGAGTTTCATATATTTATCATGAGTGCACAAGTGAGTGAATAATTTCATTAATTAATTAATCCAGATGAAGGGGAGAAGATAGGGAGTCCAGGTTTGAACATGATCAGATTAAGGTATCTGTAAAATATTCAAATGAAATTACCTCACAGACAACTGGAAACAGGTATATAGAGCTCAAGAGAGTAGGTTTGGTCTAAAAATAGACAGTCAGCATTAGCAGCCTCTATAAGATAACAGAACAATGAAGAGACCTGGAAAGAAGCAGCAATATGAGAAGAGGTTGAGTGAGTGAGTCACAGTAGGTTGGCTGACGTCTCTGTGCTCTGAGGTATTGCCCTGCTATTTAACAAAACCGATAGTAAATCTCTTATGGATGATGACAGTTTTCAGAAATTCTTTTTATAGATGGAACTTTCTTGGAACTCCTCAGAAAACACCATGTGGGCAGCCATATGGTGAACTAGTCCATCTCTCTTAGTTCCAGCTGCTGTAACAAAGTACAGATGGTCCCCGACTTATGATGGTTGGACTTAGAATTTTTTGACTTTGCATAACCCTACTGTAAGGTAGGAGCATCTGTACCACAGACTGAGTGGCTTACAAACAACAGAAGTTTATTTTTCACAGTTCTGGAAGCTAGAAGTTCAAGAGCCGGGTACCAACATGGTCAGGTTCTGCTAAGGCCATGCTTCCAGATTGCAAACTGCCATCTTGTGCCCTCGCATGACGAAAAGAGGGCAAGAGAGCTTCCTGGGGTTCTCTGTAGAAGGATACTGATCCCATTCATGAGAGGTTCAACCTTCATCACCTAATTACCTTCCAAAGGTCCCACCTCCTAAAACCATCACATTGGAAGTTGGGATTTCAACATATATATTTTGTGGGGACACATTTAGTTCATTGCACTACTACCTGTCCATTAGTCTATCTCTAGTAGATAATACTGACTGAGTGCTTATCATGTGACAGGTGCTATTCTAAATGCTTCACATGGATTCTCTCATTTAATCCTCACAATACTGTCAGGCAGTTCTTATCATCCCCATTTCACAGACATGGAAACTAAGGGCCTGAGATACAGCCTATTGTGACTCCCTCTTAAACTATAATGATAGCTCTCTAGATATATTAGAAAATGAAATTGTTTGGTTGCTAAAATCAACTGTCCATAGAATGAGGAGAGTCTCCAAGCCAATAAGCTCCATGTGATTCACCTGTAAGATCTGGGGGTTTTATCCATTAAGAGCAAAGCACCATCCTCCCTTAGCAGAAATGCCCCTTCTAGACTTCGTTCCCCGGCAAGGCTTCCTGGGCACCCATTCCTGACAGCTGATTGAACACATTAAATCAGCCCACAGGAATAAGTCAAACTCTATTAGTAACTCTGTAGAAATGCTAAGTCTATTTATTTATTATGAGTTATTCATAAACATCAAGACTAGACTTTATAATTTAATACCACCTGCAATGATTCCTGAAAGTGGCAGTATTTTACCACTATGATCTGATTAATTGACCTGTTCAAACAGAGCTCCGAATCAAGCATAACTTCCCTTTGACAGAAGTGTATTCATCTTCATCTCAAAGCCAGTCTTCTTGACTCATCAGGGGAGAACAAAAGAGCTCATCTAAGGGAACCAATTAAAATCATCTGAAATAATATGGATATTCTACTAAAGAAATATGTATAAGCTCTTAATATTTTCTTTTCTAAAAATATACAAAGGAGTACACACTTTATTTCAATCATGTATGTTCAAAAACACACAAATGTAATGATGCTGTCAGAAGGCAGGACAAGGGTTTTCCTTGGCAGCAGAGGCTGGGAAGACCTAATCCCTGGGGTAGGGCATGAGAGGGGCCTCTGAGGGATTGGACAGGCTCTGGGTGCTGGTTTGATGAGTGTGTTCACATTGTGAAAATTCATCATATGCAGACTTTTCTTTATTTATGTCATATTTCAATTAAATGTTTACCAAAAATTAAGGGGGAAAAAAGCAATAATTCATACTCCAGCAGCACCACACAGTCAGAGGCTTAACTGAAGACAATACTTCAGTTAAACTCCTCCAACTCCTGGATGTAATTACTAGATAGGCAAATCACATTAAATGAACCTCAGTTTGCTCACTTGTAAAATAAGAACAATGCCCCTTCATAAGTGGATGAAAAATGACTATAAAAATTTTTATATATGTTTATATGTATATTACTATCTGCCAGTTTGTAACTTGCTATGAAAATTCAGTATTACGCTACTATTATTGTTATAATTATTATATAATCCTTAATTTCTTTTCTTGTTTTTTGAAACAGGGCCTCACTCTATCGCCCAGGCTGGAGTGCTGTGGCACGATCTCGGCTCACTGCAACCTCCACCTCCCAGTCTCAAGCAATTCTCCAAAATTGCTCAGCCTCCAGAGTAGCTGGGTCTACAGGCGCGCACCACCATGCCCAGCTAACTTTTTGTAGTTTACTGGGGTTTTGCCATGTTGCCCCAGCTGGTCTCGAACGCCTGTGCTCAGGCAATCTGCCTGTCTCAGCCTCTCAAAGTGCTAGGATTACAGGCGTGAGCCATCACACCGGCCTATAATCCTTAATTTCAACAAATGTGCATCTACTCTTCCTGACCGCGCCTAAGCAGAGAGGTTAATGTGTTGACTCTAAAATTACTATTTAGATTGGCCCTGAAATAATAAAAGGATTAAACTAACTAGAGGCCAATATTTTGCCATGTCAATGAGTCTTGAAATCCCCTTGTTCATGACAGTCACAGGCAGGGCCAGCCTTTTACCAGGATGAGTTAGCAGCCCCTTGCACAGGACTCTTCCAGGCCTTTTCCTCAAACCATAACCTAAAATTCAAACACAAGGGATTCCTTTGATTGACAATAGAGAAGAATACACAATTTGAAAGACAGAATCCAGTGGACCATTCTCAACCTTTTCTTAAATTACGAAATTTTCCAGCCACTCATTAAGGAAGCAGGATGCTGGGTGGAGGAATAAAGGAAAGGGAGATTTTCAGCTCTAGAAGATCAGTTGCTCCACCACTATAGACTGGATGTGTGGGGGCCAATATCTTGTTCCTTTTTTCTTAGGTCAATTGCCACAGACAACTTCAGATGAACTCATTCTTTTTAATGATGTCAATACAGGCAAATAGTTTACATTCAACATGATTCATTCTACAAATTATTATGAATATGTGTCAGGTGCTGAGGACACTGTTTGGGAAGACCAATAAGCTCCTGCTCCCACCGGGCTTATAGTCTAGCGGAGGCTGTAGAAGGCTTTCACGGTCAGGCAGGTATAGTCAATATTGCATACGAGGTTCCCTCAGCAAGGAGTCACAATATTCATTTGAAGTAAATGAACTGAACTCTCTTTACCACCATGTTTCAATCTCAACTAATGCTTTCATCACAGAACACCCATTAATTCTAGAATCTGAAGAAACAGTGATATAGATTAAAATCGCTCCAAGAATTCAGGAAAATAAGAGAGCAATAAAGAATGGAGTCATCAGAAAGGCTTAAATAGAGGAAATGAGGCTGGCCGTGGATAGCTTGATTCTTGTTTTAAGACAGTATGCCCTCAGGAATTAAGGATGAGTTTCAGCCTCTGTTCTACAAAAACACCCAATGTAAACAAGCTTAGCATTTAGCTGGTTCCCCAAGGACACACTTGATGTGAGGCCACTTGCTTGGTAGCCTGGCCATGTCTGTCACTTGACCTTTCTAGAATGAAACAGAATCTTGAGGCCTTGCAAAGGAGTTTTTCTACCTACAAAGGACCTTAAAACTATCTAGCCCAGAGTTTCTAAAGCTGTGATTGTAACCTATGAGTGAAATCCAATTCAGTCAGCATTTTTCTTTCAATAAGATCGAATGGAGGCCAGGCATAGTAGCTCACGCCTGTTATCCCACCACTTTGGGAGGCCAAAGCAGGAGGATCACTTAAGGTCAGGAATTTGAGAACAGCCTGGCCAACATGGAGAAACCCCATCTCTACTGAAAATACAAAATTTAGCTGGTTGTGGTGGTACACACCTGTAATACCAGCTACTCGGGAGGCTGAGGCACAAGAATTGCTTGAACCTGAGAGGTGGAGGTTTCAGTGAGCCAAGATTGTGCCACTGCACTCCAGCCTGGGCAACAGAGTGAGACTGTCTCAAAAAAAAAAAAAAAGGATAGATAGAATGGAATTGAATGTATTAGAAAATATCAGAGCACCATACACAGAAAGAGTAACACTATTTTTTCATGAAACGTTATGTTTATGTGTCTATTCATATATGTGTGTATGTATATACACACATATATATTATGTGCGTATAGTATACTAGGTTATAATATAAAATTTATTTCTTACTGTGAGTTGTAACCAAAATGTTTAAATGCCCGTGTTACAACTTAACAGCCTCATTTTATATATGAAGATACTGAAGAGAAGTAGAGTCAGTTGCCTAAAGACACAGAGCTACAGGCCAGACGCGTTGGCTCATGCTTGTAATCCCGGCACTTTGGGAGGCCACGGTGGGCGGATCACCTGAGGTCAGGAGTTCAAGACCAGCCTGACCAACATGGAGAAACCCCATCTCTACTAAAAATACAAAATTAGCCAGGTGTGGTGGTGCATGCCTGTAATCCCAGCTACTCGAGAGGCTGAGGCAGGAGAATCTCTTGAACCCAGGAGGCAGAGGTTGTGGTGAGCCAAGATTGTGCCGTTGCACTCCAGCCTGGGCAACAAGAGTGAAACCCCATCTCAAAAAAAAAAGAAAAAAAAAAAGACCCAGAGCTAGTTAGTGACAAAGCCATTATTAGAATCTAGCTCCTGGGACTCCCTGTTCAGTGCTCTTACCACTACACCAGCTATTCAAAAACAAAATTACACCTCATTGCTGCCTTTCAATATAGCACATTCCTGCCTATAAAACTTGTTTAAAGATGTATTTACAATAACTCTCTGTTCATTGCCTTAAAACTCTAAACAAGATAATAATATCGACCTTTGTTGAGATCTATACCAGATAGGCATGGAGCCTGAGAAAAACCTAAAGGTGTTTAATTTTTTGCCTTGTAAATTTTCTCACTAAATATGACAGAAGGGAATATAGCTGGAAGCACTATAAAACACCTATTAAAGAAGTTATCTCTTAAATAGGTACTGTTTACAAAATAAACCATATAGTCTCATTTTCTCCTTTATGATCTAATTTTCTTGTCAGCAGAGCTTATTTTTTTTCTAAGAAGCAAAAAAAAAAAAAAAAAGATTTCAGCTGCAGTGTTGTCTTTTTACCTCCCAATCAACCAGAGCTGGTTATAAACAATAACAACATGATCCTAGCTTTATAGTAGCTTTTAAATTGCAAAGAATTCTCTCAAGGGATTTGAGTCAAGGGGAAAAAAAACCCTAAAATATAGCATTTTCAATTAATCTGCTTACTGGCAAAAGTTGCTAAAGAAGAGAAGGAAAATGAATATTGTTTTTGTTTCTTCTTCTTTAAATCTTTTACAAATAATTACACAAGGAACTTCAAGCTATTTAATTTGAACTTCAAGCCTGCAAAAAAAAATCTGTGCTCATGTTTCTGAAGAGAAATTCTCTAAAACAATAACTGGCACAGGAGAAAATACATGCTGACAGGTATTTCAAAGGCAAGAACTTTTATTTTTGTTTTGTTTTTTCCTCCAGGGCAACTTTGTAAGCCATCATTTTTCTTGCAAGATTTCCCTCCCCTGAGGTGTTCCACATATACGCTGCAATAATAAATGAAAAAGGTGCCATTCAAAATGTATGGAAAGAGGATGTGGACAGAATAGATTTGATTCAGATCCCATGATACTGGCCTGAGTGGTGGGAATTTCACGGAAATGCCCCAGACTGCTGAGTTTGTTAGACCCATTCACTTCACTCTCCATCCTGTACCTCATTTGTGAGTCCACAAAGCAATTGCCCTGACACAGCTCCAATAAAGGCAAGTCCTAACTTACCAACATTTGTCTTTCAAATATTTGCTTTTAATGTGGTTACTTGTAGCTAGACTCTCACATTAAAAAACAATGCAATGCTATCTATAACAACAATAATAATAACAATAATAGTTCATATTTATTAAGTATATTCCTTGTGCCAATTTTTGTTCTAATTGCTTAACATGTTTTAACTCATGTCTGTAATCCCAGCACTTTGGGAAGCCAAGGTGGGAGTATCATTTGAGCCCAGGAGGTTGAGGCTGTAGTGAGCTATGATGACTCCACTGTACTTCAGCCTCAGTAACAGAGTGAGACCCTGTCTCTAAAAGAAAAAGAAGAAGAAATTGGATGGCCAAATAACTGGATTCAAGTTGTCAGGAAATTAAGTCATTATCAAGATATGCACAGAAATAAAGAAAATGCATGAGGATGGCCTGAGACATAATTAGACCTGTGGCCTCCAATTTCCTCTTATGTTTCACTAGTATCAGGAAAATATTTTTAAGTGTACACTTCTAATATAGGTATTTTTCTTTTAACATAAAAACATGTGTCACTGTATTACTATATAATAAACATTATAAACCATATGCACGAAATAGATGTTTTTAATGAGAGAAAATAGTTAAATGTCACTATTTGCCTATAACACATAATTTTTTTCTCAGAAGTAGATTTTATTGTGGAAGGAAAAGGAGGGGATGAGCCCTTGATACATGAATGAAGGATGTCCTAAAAGCCCAGCAAAGGCTCCTCAAGGAGATAATACTGTAAACAGTGGAATGATGTCCTGTTGGTCAAGGTAACGTATTTCAAAAAGATGGAAATTTCAAGAGTGTCAAATTCCCCAAGGTAATCTTGTATCATGGTGCCACCTTATTGGTCCACATCAAAGAGCTATGCTTGACTTGAGAACATCACATTCATTTTGCTTTTGATAATTCTTCCATTATATTTGCATGTGTTTCCTACAGATTACATATAAAAATCTTGTGATCAAGGCCAGTTGTGGTGGCTCATTCCTATAATCCCAGTGCTTTAAGAGGCCAAGGTGAGAGGATCTCTTGAGACCAAGAGTTCAAAACAAGCCTGGGCAATACAATGAGACCCTATCTCTACAACAAATTTGAAAATTAGCCAAGTGTGGTCATGCATATGCCTGTGGTCCCAGCTACTCAGGGGGCTGAGGCAAACAGACCCTTGACCCAGGAGTTTCAGGCTGCAGTGGGCCATGATCACACCACTGCACTTCAGCTCAGGTGACAGAGTAAGACTTCATCAAGAGAGAGAGAGAGAGATCTTGTGATTACAGTCATTTTACAGAAGAGGAAACTTATGGTTATACAATCAGTACATTATGGCTTTAAGATTCAAATGCTGAACAACTCATTCTGAGTTCATGGGTTTTCTTATTGTAATCAACTATCTTTTACTTATGGAGTTTAATTAATTTGCCTTTAATTATCATTTTAAAAAACAACTTTTTAATATTTTTTCCACATACCAATGAATTATTGCACATTGTGGCATACATTCACCTTCCTATTTGGAAACCACTGACAAGTTGACTGAGGCAGTCTGTTTTTAACAACTGTGCTTGCTTTTCTTAAATTCATTTCATCTTTGTCTTAAGGTGGCCTTGCTCATGGCAGTAATAAAGTTTAATTTTTTTCTGATCACACTCTTGCCTAATCTAGATTTTTTCCACACAAAAATCAATAAAAGGCAAATAATAGCTAAAACACTGTACTGAATCCCACATCACATTCTCATTTTATGTCATTCCCCAAAGCCATGAGATATTAGGAGAAATTTCTCCTTTCACAAATCAAATGAATAAGTAATTTGCTGCAGGCATAAATAGGCAATTCAAAAGAGAAATAGAAACAGCCAAATCATGAAAAGAATAGCCAAAACAATCTTGAAAAATAACAAAGTTGGAAGACTCAGACTTCCCAATTTCAAAACTTATTTCAAAGCTACACTCATAAGACAGTGTCGTACTGGTATAAAATACATGTACAGCAGTCCCCACTTATCTCTGGGGGATATGTTCCAAGATCCCCCAGTGGATGCCTGAAACCATGGATAGAACCAAACCAGATTGCCATAATCACAACTACTTCTGCTCATGTCTTCTACCCACAAATTTAATGCCTTTTCCATCTTAACTAAAAATGTATCATGCACTTTGGCTGTAACTTTTGCAGTTTGAGGTGCGACAGCAAAACTAGATTTCTTTTTCTGTCTTCACAATTCATAGATATATTTGTTCTTACCACAGATCTTAGCAACTTTGGCATACGGGGATTTTTTTCTTTCCTTATTAAATAGAGAACTTTCAGATTTTCACCTAAAGGAAGCACTCGAAGGCTTCTCCTTGGCGTATGCAAATTTCTACCATCACTACTTTTATGCTTTGAGGCCATTATTAAGTAAAATAAGAGTGACTTGAACTCAAGCACTGCATGACAGTCTATCTGATAACCTAGATGGCTCCTAAGTGACTAACTTAGGGTGGGGAGCTTAGACAGCAGGGATCTGCTGGACAAAGGGATGATTCACGTCCCAGGCAGGACAGAGCAGGATGGCACAAGATTTCATTATGCAACTCAGAACAGCATGTAATTTAAAACTGAGGAATTATTCATTTGTTGAATTTTTCATTTAATATTTTTGGATCGTGGTTGACCACAGGTAACTGAAACCTCAGAAAGCAAAACCACAGATAAGTGAGGACTACTGTATGTATCAATGGAATAGGATTGAGTGTTCAAGAAATAAATTCATACCTTTATGGTCAATTGATTTTTGCAAGGTTGCTAAGGCAACTCAGTGGGGAAAGAACAGTCTTTTCAACAAATACTGCTGGAACAACTGGATGTGCCCATCTCAAAGGATGAAGTTGGACCCATCCCTTGTGCCACATATGAAAATTAACTCAAAATGAACCAAAGACTTAAATGTAAGAGCTAAAATGATAGAACTCTTAGAAATCGTGAAAAGATGTTTAAAATCACTAATAATCAAAAAAATACAAATTGAAATAAGAAATTGTATTTTATTTCTCCAATTGATGAAAGAAATTCTAAAGGCCAGTACAGGTTCAGTTTGGAGGACACAGAACATGGATACACATTTTATGATTATGTGTATTGGCCCGTTCTGGAAAGCAGCTTGGCAATCTGAATCAGTGTTAAACTGTTTAACTCAGCAATTTCATTGAAAAGGGATTATCCTAAAGACATATTGGGTAAGGATACAAAGTTGTACATGCAAGGATGCTCATCTAAGTATTTTAAAGAAGAGCAAGAAATTGAGAGTAAAATAAATGCTTATTTGTCAGGGTTTGGTTATAAACAGATATACAATAAAGTAATAAGCAACCATTAAAATCATTGATTGATAGGTATATTTTATTGACATAGAAAAAATGTTGAGAATTTATTAAGGTAAAACAATTAGGCAACAAAATAATATATTTTTTCTTTTCTTTTTCTTTCTTCCCAACTTTTATTTTAGGTTCAGGGAGTACATATGCACATGTGCAGGTTTTATACGGGTAAACTCTGTGTCATGGGGGCTTGGTATACAATTTATGTTGTCACCCCGGTAATAAGCATAATACCTAATAGGTAACTTTTCGATCCTCACCCCCCTCCCACCCTTCACCCTCAAGTTAAGCCCTGGCTTATGTCGTTCCCTTCTTTACATCCATGTATACTGAATGTCTGCCTCCCACTTATAAGGGAGAACATGGCATATTTGGTTTTCTTTCTGCGTGAATTTGCTTAAGATAACAGCCTCTAACTCCATCTATATTGCTGCAAAGGACATTTCCTTTTGTTGCTGTCTAGTATTCCATGGTATATATGTACCACATTTTCTTTTTCCAGTCCACCGTTGATGGGCATTTAGGTTGGTTCCATGTCTTTGCTATTGTGAATAGCACTGCAATGAACATACATGTGCATGTGTGTTTATGATAGAATGATTTATATTCTTTTGGGTATATACTAAGTAATAGGATTGCTTAGTTCAATGGTAGTTCTGCTGTAATTTATTTGAGAAAACTCCAAACTGCTTTCCACAGTGGCTGAACTAATTTACATTCCCACCAACAGTGTGTAAGTGTTTCCTTTTCTCTGCAACCTCACCATCATCTGTTATTTTTTGACTTTTTGATAATAGCCATTCTGACTGGTATGAGTTGGTATCTCATTGTGGTTTTGATTTCATTTATCTAATGATTAGTGACGTTGAGCATTTTTTCATATGCTTATTGGCTATGTGTATGTCTTCTTTTGAAAAGTGTCTGTTCATATCCTTTGCTTATTTTTTAATGGGGTTATTTTTGTTTATTAATTTAAATTGCCTATAGAGTCTAGATATTAGACTTTTGTCAGATGCATACTTTGCAAATATTTTCTCCCATTCTGTAGGTTGTCTGTTTACTCTGTTGATTACTTCTTTTGCTGTGTAGAAGCTCTTTAGTTTAATTAGATCCTACTTGTGAATTTTTGCTTTTCTTGCAGTTGCTTTTGGAGTATGTCATGAATTCTTTGCCAGGGCCCAAGTCCAGACTGGTATTTCCTAGGTATTCTTCTGAGGTTTTTATAGTTTTAAGTTTTATGTTTAAGTCTTAATCCATCTTGAGTTGATTTTTGTATATGGTTAAAGGAGGGGGTCCAGTTTAAATCTTCTGCATATGGCTAGCCAGTTATCCTAGCACCATTCATTGAATAGGGAGTCCTTTCCTCATTGTTTGTTTTTGTCTACTTTGTCAAAGGTCAGATGGTTGCAAGTGTGTGGCCTTATTTCTGGGTTCTCTCTTCTTTTCCATTGGTCTATGTGTCTGTTTTGTGCCAGCACCATGCTGTTTTGGTTACTGTAGCCTTGTTGTATAGTTTGAAGTCTGACAGTGTGATGCCTCCAGCTTTGTTCTTCTTCCTTAGGATTGTTTTAGCTATTCAGGCTCATTTTGATTCCATATGAATTTTAGAATTGTTTTTTCTAATTCTGTGAAAAATGTCCTTGGTAGTTTGATAGGAATAACACTGAATCTATACATTGCTTTGGGCTGCATGGTCATTTTAATGATATTGAGTCTTCCTAACCATGAACATGGAATGTTTCTCCATTTGTCGGTGTCAGCTCTGATTTCTTTGAGCAATGTTTTGTAACTCTCATTGAAGAGATCTTTCACCTCCCTGGTTAGCTGTATTCCAAGGTAGTGTGCGCGTGTGTGTGTGTCTATTGTTAGTGGCACTGCATTCTTGATTTGGCACTCAGCTTGGACATTATTAGTGTATAGAAATGTTACTGATTTTTATACATTGATTTTTGTATCCTGAAACTGTGCTAAAGTTGCTTATCAGATCTAGGAACTTTTGGGCAGAGACTATGGGGTTTTCAAGGTATAAAATCATATCATTTGTGAAGAAAGATAGTTTGACTTCCTCTCTTCCTATTTGAATGCCTTTTCTTTCTGTCTGTCTTTCTTTTTTTTTTTTTTTTTTCTCCCCCTGATTCCTCTGGCTAGGACTTTCAGTGCCATGTTGTTAAATAGGAGTGATAAGAGCATCTTCATCTTGTCCTGGTTCTCAAGGTGAATGCTTCCAGCTTTTGCCCGTTCAGTATGATATTGGCTATGAGTTTGTCACAGATGGCTCTTATTATTTTGAAGTGCATTCCTTCAATGCCTAGCTTGTTGGAAGTTTTATCATGAAGGGATGTTGAATTCTATCCAAAGCTTTCTCTATATCTGTTGAGATGATCATGTGCTTTTTGTTTTTAGTTCTGTGTATGTGATGAATCACACTTAATGATTTGCATATGGTGAACCAACCTTACATCCTAGGGATAAAGCCTACTTGATTGTGATAGCTTCACTTTTTGATGTGCTGTTGGATTAAGTTTGCTAGGATTTTCTTAAGAATGTTTGAAAATATGTTCATCAGGGATATTGGCCTGAAGTTTTCTTTTTTTGTTGTGTCTCCACCAAGTTTTGGCATCAGGATGATGCTGGCCCAATAGAATGAGTTACGGAGGAGTCCCTCCTTCTCATTTTTTCGTAATAGTTTCCATAGGATTGATACCAGCTCTTCTTTATATATCTCATAGAATTCAGATGTAAATCTGTCTGACCCAGGGCTTTTTCTGGTTGGTAGGCTATTTATTACTGATTCCATTTTGAAACTTGTTATTGGTCTGTTTGGGGTTTCTATTTCTTCCTGGTTCAATCTTGGTGGGGTAGTATGTTTCCAGGAATTTATCCATTTCTTCTAGGTTTTCTAGTTTGTATGCATAGAGGTGTTTGTAATAGTTCCTGAGGGTTTTTTATATTTCTGTGGGTCGATGGTATTTTGTCGTTTCTGAGTGTGTCTATTTGGATCTTCTCTATTTTTTTAATTAGTCTAGCTAGTGGTCTATCAATCTTATTCTTTCAAATAACCAACTTTTGGTTTTGTTGATCTTTTGTGTGGTTTTTCATGTCTCACTTTTATTCAATTCAGCTCTAATTTTGATTATTTCTTTTCATCTGCTAGCTTTGGAGTTGTTTTGTTCTTGTTTTTCTAGTTCCTCCAAGTTTGATGTCAGTTTGTTAATTTGAGGTCTTTCTTTTTGATGTGGGCATTTAGCACTATAATCTTCTCATTTAATACTGCTATTGCTGTGTCTCAGAGATTCTGCCTTTTTATAAAAATGAGAAGATCTATAATCTCATTTTGTAAAAAGGCATAATCAATCTCAAAACGTTAAAATATTTATCTCTGGATGTCGCAATTAGAGCTGATCTTCATGCTTTTCTTTTATATCTGTGTTTTTTTTTTTAGTTTTCTGCAATGAGTTTCCATTCTATTTGCAATTTTTAAAATATATGGATGGCACTTGGAAAAAAGAGCCCCTTTCTTAACAAAGAAGTATGCAGCTATTTATCTATTCTACTAATTCTCATGTAGTAGCCTCACTTGCAAAATAACATGTGATTGGAAAAGCCCCTCTACTCCCACAAGTCTACCATTCCCCTATAACTGACACTGAAATTTCTTTAAGAGAAAACAAGACCATGGAGCCATATTTGACAATAAAATTACATTTTTCTAGGAAAAGTAACACATAACTCAAGCACTGAGGGTATATCTTATCTTATTCCTATCCATTCCTCTTAATACCTTTCTCTTTTGCCTCTATTCCTTCCTCAACACCAGTATACTTTGCTCAATTGTCTGTTGAATGAATTAACAAGCTCTGATTATAGATTAATCAGAGAATTTTCTTAAAGCTGATTTTGATAGGAAGATATGGAGAGCCCATGAACACGGCATACCTAAGACAAGGAAGAGAAAATGCACAATAGAATAATAAGCAGCCATTTAAATTGTTAATGAATATGTATATTGTATGGATATGACAAGTATCCAAATCTTATTATTAAGGTTAAAAAGAAAACAACTATGCATTCCTGCCTCAGCCGGGGAGTACGGAAAAGGGAAATTTAACATCCAGTGGGAAAACTTGAGTTGCTGAAGTTGAAATTTGTCTCCCCCTCTGCTTTTTCTTGGGTCAAATCTGGCTGTATACTTCCTTCAATATGCTACAGTTTGATTTTTCCTCTTATAAATGTGTCTGAGAAGTACATCATGCACTCCAAACAGCTTCTGGGCTGAAAACAATCTGAACATTTAGACCAACAATTATATGCTAATCCAATAATTTTAGATTGGCTGGTAGATGTCAAGGAGCATTATTAGACAGCTTTCTCCTATTACTCTAGCCTATGGAAAGAGGTTCTAATCTTTTTATAATTTGGATTGATGACTCTAAGTTACTGAATAATCCCAAAGACTCTAAATCCTTTAATGTAAAACAAATCATAACAACCAGCATTCTCAGTTAACTGGTGGTAATCCTTTGTAGTATAAAACACAAGCCTGAGAAATCCTTCCATGCTCACTTTTAGTTGGAACCCTCTGGAGAAAATGCCTGTCTGACCCAGGGAAGAGATGTATTTTTTCCTCCCAACAAACTCCCTGGCGACATGCATCTGTCAATACAACTAAAGCCTACCCCACCCCAAATGGAGCAAAAATCAATAGCTTTGCTTCCTATCTCCTTCAAGAGAGTGCTTAGAGCATTAAAACAGCACATAAAAGATAAGAGATCAACTGCTTTTATTACTTGTCAACTGCTTGAGCTACATTTCATAACAATTTTGGACACACTTCCAACAGCCACAAAAGAAGGTCCCTAGACGTACTACATTATGCACGTGTCCAAGAAAACAGGCAGCTTGTAAAGCCCCAGAGAGAAAATGCCAAGGACTGAGGCAACTGTCTCAAAAGCTCCTCCTTCCCTTCCAGGTGTTAAACTAAAGCACACACATTTTCATATACTATCCATGTGTCACCCAGGCACAAAGGAGATTGACATTGCAAGAAATCAGTAAGGAGTATATTTAGTTTCACTTCTGAAATGCTCAATTAAATGTGGCTATAAGTTCATAAATTTTTTTTTTAAGTTGGGCACACATCTGTAACCCCAGCTGCCTGGGAGGCTGAGGCAGGAGGACTATGTAAGCCCAAGAGTTTGAGACCAGCATGAGCAATGTAGCAAAATCCCATCTCTTAAAAAAAAAAAAATTAATTAAAAAAAAAATTTAAAAACTTGAGTAAAGTTAATGTACCATACAAGTTTCACATCTCCAAGTGTAAGCTATTTCCCAAGGTGGAAGAAGAAGGATTGCTTGTCATGTAATTCCAAGAATCACTAATGAGACAGCCTTAACTTTCTATTCTATCCCTTTCATGAGAAATCGATGCCCCTGGACCATTGCCTATGCCAGCTCAATTATCCTCAAAGATTTAACCTCATAATATTTTATCTTATTCTGAATCTGCCCTTCGAAATTATTCTTGCCACCAACTGTATTTTTGAAACCCCATGAGATATAGGGTGTGGAATTTTTTAAAGAGAAGCACTACTTGACTGTTGCAATGGGGGAGAGATGTATTTACTAGTGGTGCATGTAAAGCACCTGGTGCCCATATGTCTATCTAACAGAGGATCCATTTTTAGTTCTAACGCTGATCAGAAAGTGACTTTTGCTGTCAATAGTAATGACAGTTAAGAGTAGATCATGGAAAATACAAGGGAAGATGGCCAAAGCCCTGAAAGCAATTGGATTGAGGATCAAAGAGCTGTCAGAACAAACAGCTGGCATCCCATTCTTGGGATAATAATAACAACAGTTTTCAGAGCCTTCTGGAGATAATAAGCTTCATTAGGCAAACAGTATAAGTGAAAGAATATCTTGCTTCTTCTTAAAAACAAAATCTTTTGTTTTTCTACCACTGGGTTTCATGATGGAAGCAAATGAAATCTCTGGATACACGAGTATGGGGGAAAAAAGCATAAGAAATTCTTCAGAGAATAATCACATTTTATATAGTGGAAAAAGAGATGCCCAGAGTAGACAAGAACAGGGCCTCTTCTCTTTACATTCTCTCATCATTTTCTTACTGAGAAACTTTCTACCAGAACCGCACTTTTGATTTGTTGTGTATATTTAAGTGTATAGAAAACTTGTGTGACTTTCATTCCGAAGTATGAGTTCAATCATTACGAACTAATATATCCTCACAAATTTCTGAAGTAACAGCTACCTCCAGATTGCATTGGGGACAGATATCTGAACACAGGGGACCCAAATGACTATAGCATTTAGGATTCTAGCACCAGGAGGGAACTGTTCCAACTGCAAAAAGAATGTTACTCCAGAAAATCACCCACCTCCTAGTACGTTACCTTGGCAGGATTTTTAATCTGTCTGGGAGAACTCATTGCATTTAGTTCAGTACTTAGATGACAAAGATGTGATTCTTTCTAAGCAAAGCCTAGAAAAGAAGGCCTATTTTTAAGAACCTTATCTGCCTATGTGAACAAGCAAGGTTTCCAGCAGAGCTGAGTTCTTTGTATTGACTTGAGAAGTGACTCCATGCATAAGCATAGCCAGCCTCTGAGATAAACAAGTCTGAGATGTAACTGGTTAGTAAAGCTTTTCAGTGAAGCAGGCATCGTTTTCTTCTCCCTCTTTAGTGTTTCATAGTTATTAACATTCAAATATAGTCACAATTTCTAAGCCAAATACTAATTTTTATGATCTGATATTTTAGATGAACTGCATTACTCCTGCCTCTGTGGGAAGAGATAACAGATCAGTGTTTCACCAGGTTTTTGTAGCTGCTTTGCTCAGAGGTCAAATTCTTGCTCCTCTCTAAAAGTATCAGTAATTGTGCAATAGATTGCAAAGACTTTCATCCAACAAGCTTGTGTGAAATACTATTACATGCTAGACACTGGATGCAAAACAATGAGAAAAACAAAGTCCTTGACCTCCAAATACCCTAGAAGAAATGGTCAAAAACACAGATTGCACTATAGAAATATACATACCATATTAGAGATATGAACAAGACCCATGCGAATCTACAGGAGCTGGTGGTCAGAGTGACTATTTCAATGTGGTTTACCAGTTATAGATAATATTTTGGGGCCCAAGAAATATTTTTGTGCTGTTGCTCAGTGTTCTGCTGGAATCTATCTGCTTTCCTAGGCAGGGCTTTACTGCCAGAGAGGACTTTACAAGCTTAAATCAAGTGTTAATACCACTATTACTATTCATCAGGCTGAAGGGTTATTTTTCTTGAATTCATCTTTAGGCGTCTCCTCTGCTAATTCAATGTCAGTGAGGTCTTTGGCTTCATAAGGATGTGAAGCAATAGAGTTACATAGGTTGGTAGATGAATAAAAAGAAGTGATACCAGAATGTAGACTTAGAGAAATTAGGATGAAATGGGAAAAAGAAATGAGAAGACTGGTTAAGAGCTCTTTCAGAAATTTATTAATAATGAATGTGCACAAAACTACTATCTGTACAATCATGTCTCAATTTATGTGTTATGTGCCATCTTAAAAACTGGACTGTGAAGTAATATTTGAGTCAAATTCTATTTCAAATGTACCTCAAGGCAATTTAAAAAAATAGTTTGGAAAATGTCTCTGTAAAGCAGAGACTCTTATAATGTGAATAATCATTTCCCTATTGTATGTCTTGTAAGTTGGAGTTTTGTCAGGTTTGCTTAATGAACGACAAACTGCACCTTCTATTTATGTTAAATAAATAAGTAATATTGAAGAGTATGCTGGAAGACTTCATCTTTCTGTGCAGTCTAGTCATTAGGTGCATGAGATCAGTTGCTCTAGTTCTGAATCACTTGCACCAAATAGACCAGTATCCCAGAAAATAGTCAGAATAGGAGGGGCAGTCTCTGCTCCAGGAAACCTTAGGTAAAAAACAAAACAGAAAGTGTTATCTAAGCCAGCACTTTTCAAAATTTAACTCATACATAAAGCACCTGGATTTTGTTAAAATGCAGATTCTAATTCAGGCGGTCTGGGGTGAGGCACAAGGTTCTGCATTTCTAACAAGTTCCTGGGTGCTGATGCCAATGCAGCTGGTCCATTTACCACGCTTTAAGCAGCAAGGATCTAAGCTAAGCTGACGAAATAAATGGCAAGAAGCATGTGTTGTACTCTGCAGTTTATCAGCAACTTGAATATCCAGGCAAAATATATTTGAGGTTTCCAAACCATATCAGTGATGAAACAGGCAGAAAAAAAGGGGGACTCGTTGAGACAATGTTTTCTGTTTCCTCCTGTTTTCTCATGTCGCATTCCCATCCCCATCCTCTCTTCTGTAGGAGGGGGCGCTCTGTTTAGTACAGGGAGTCGGCTACCATAACATTTCCAGCAGAGTCTTCCTATTTCACAACAACAGTGAAAAAGCAGGGTAACTGGGGAACGGTCAAAGGTTTAGCTTTGATCTCCCACAATATCATTCCTCTGAGCCTCCTATGCTCACTCTTTCAAAAAAAAATTAATGCAATGCCTTTTACTCTGGCTTCTTCCTCTCTTGAGATGTCTCTGGAACAATAGAGAGGTGCTGGATATGCTAAGTTTTTCCTTTGAACTAAGGCAAAAGGAGTACCTAAGCCCCAGAATACCTCTAGGCTCTAAGCACTGTATCAACTTTGAAACTAACTATGAGATTATAGTTCTATATTTTTAGAAACACATCTTTAACTGAAAAATTGTGGATAAGCCATTGCACCAACTTTTTAAAAGCCATGGCCCCAAAACAGGCACATAAAGAACTTCACCCTCTCTGGGCCTCAGAATAATTTCTGTACCTTGGTTTTCTCAACAGTCAGAGTAATCCATAAGAAGACACACCTCATATTGCCATTGTAAGGCTCCCATTTCTACATGGTTTAGAGAACTCCTTAAAACCACAAATCAATCATGACACTCAAAAGGATTTAACTTCCAATCAGTAGAAGTAAATTGCAGAAAAAATATTCAAAATCAAAATATTGCCACTTAGAAATTGCAGATCGCTATTCTACAAGCTGAAAAAAAATCAGTATATCAGAATTGTTTTTTCAAAGATATATCAGGCAAAAGTAGGATATAAGAGCAAAAATTCTTGCAAATGGCATGCCATGCCAATTAATTCTACATTTATTTCTTCTTAAAATCTCTTTTTTGTATGATGACTATTTTATGCTTCAAAGGAAAACCAGCGTATACAAAACAATTTCTATTGCTAAATACCCTTTCTGTGTGCACAAAACCACTATAAGAATACACATTCACTTAGGATAGATATCAATATTATATGTACTAATATACTGTAGATGCTCATAAATATTAAAGATATGCAGAGAAGGATACAGGAACATAATTTTTAGGTGACATTTTTTACTAATGTGGTTTTTATTGTAAAACATAACCTGTGTGTGTTTCAATAGATATGCCATATCTGCCCTCTAGTGGAAAGATGGGATTAGCACTTCAAGCTTGCTGTTCTGGTTTCCACAACAGAAATTTGCCTGCAACTAGAGGAACATCGTTACTGAACTACCAGAGGAGTACGGATTCCGTCCTGACTGACCATGTTATGCTAGGAAAAAGACACATCTGGGTATGTCTTTCAGTTAGTTGAGTAGGCTCTGCAGAGGTATGAGATATGAGAGACCAGAGAAATGGAGAGGCCTTGGGTAAGAGCTCAAGCGGAAGCCATTATGCCCATCCACTTGGTCACATGACAATGTTCTAGACGCCAAGGGATCATTTTGGGCACAGCACGTATCCTTCACTCAGACTGTCCTCTGGCCCAAGAAGCTCTGGTCTTCTGCTAGAATTTTAGAAAGCTGAGAGCTGCTCATAAAAACCGATTTATTTTCAGGGTTATCATGGAAGCAGAAGGTAGCACTGCCCTGGAACCAAGAGGGTGTGACACAAAGCTAGGGGAATGATGTCCCCTCACTTCCTCTGTCAGCACAGCATGGCACCATCACATCAAGGGCACTGGACATGAAATAGCCTCAACAGTGTCAGTGTTTTAGCACAGGGCAATAACTACAGGACCCTTTAAGGATGGCACAGCACAACTTCAGGGGCCAAGAGCAAATATTGGTAACCAAGAGCTGCTTAGCAAGCAGCAGCACCAGAACCAAAAACAAGGCACCATTCATTGCAGGGAACCACATCACCAGTGACCTTGGCAGAACAGGTCAGGATATGTTGTCGAAGAGAAGGAAAATGGAAACATCTTGTGGTGGCTGACAGGATTATATTCATAAGCAGCATGAGATACTCTCTGAAGATCGCTAGAAATAACTGGCTTTTAGAAGATCCTAAAATTGCAGGACAGGAAAGAGCCAGACAAGTAGTATTTAGACTACTATTGTGAGCAAGCTAATGTGGCTTGATAAAGAAAGTCCCATCAGTCCTGTGCACCATCTGGAACATTGTCATGACTTACCAATATGCAACGTAAATTTTCTTGCTGATAAGGCAGCAACAATTCTGATGAATGAACACACATCAAGAACAAAGGAAACAGAAGAAGGCTGGAAGAAACTAAATAGTTTGGTTAAGACTGGAAAAACCCAGGCTCCATAGAGAATAAACCCCAGAGAATCTTCAATCGTCTAAACCTCAAACATACAAGGAACCTGTCAGCATCTTCACTGTGTTAATTATTCCCACCATGGGAGTTCATGTTTTCTATGTTTCAATTGGGCTTTTCATTTGGGTATCGGAACTCCTTATCATCATTCATACCAAACTTGTCCCACAGGTTTTCACCTCTGGATTTTTCCATGCCACTTTAAAAATCTTTTTCCTCCGCAATGTCTGGTACAAAGTAAGGGACCAATACATTTTAAATAAACATACTTTATAAGTTAAATATCTTCCCCAACACAGAAGGCAACCCATTCTTAAAACTTACATGGAAATCAGGCCTCACTTCACTCCACCTGCTTTTTACATCTATTCCTTCAGAATTAGTTAGACATTAGGAATATCCCAGGAATAAGACATATCAAAATCATCAGATGCTAAAATTCTCATCCATAATTTCTGCACTAAGTTTCCTAAAATCAGTGTGTATTACTTTTAACATCAAAGTCAAAAAACAAAATTTAAAAAATCTTTTCAGCTTAAGTATCTTCTCATAAAACATTTTTACCTACATTTTTACTCTCTGTTAATGGTAGGGCCACACCTCCCAATCACACAGTATCAAACCTCAGGTGTTTCTGGATTCTTCCTTTCCCTGTTGCTCACCTCCCAGATGCAAACAGTCTCCAGATTACATTTGGGTTTTTTTCCCACCTTCATAAATTATCTTGCAAACATCTTTTTTTTTTTTCCATTTCCTCTGCCGCTACCCCACTGAAGATTCTATGACCTTATGGCTAGATAGCTACAATCTCCTGTTGCACTTCTAGCTTTTCCCTGCTACATCCTGAAAATATTGCAAGGTTAACCTTAACTTAAAAATATATAGGCTGGGGGTGGTT
This sequence comes from Homo sapiens, assembly GCF_000001405.40. Classification (NCBI taxonomy): domain Eukaryota; kingdom Metazoa; phylum Chordata; class Mammalia; order Primates; family Hominidae; genus Homo; species Homo sapiens. The sequence continues at coordinate 54,121,692 of NC_000018.10, forward strand.
GTTCATGCCTGTAATCCCAGCACTTTAGGAAACTGAAGTGGGAGGATCCCTTGAGCCCAGGAGTTCGAGACCAGCCTGGGCAAAATAGCAAGACCCCATGTATATAAATAAAAAAAAATAGCCTGACTTGCTGGCATGCACCTGTAGTCCCAGCTGCTTGGGAGGTTGAGGTGAGAGGATTGCTGAAGGCAAGGAGGTAGAGGCTGCAGTGAGCCATGATTGCAGCACTGCACCTCATCCTGGGCAAGAGAGACCCTGTCTCAAAAAATAAATAGAAGATAAATAAATAAATATACACGCACACACACACGCATAATTTCTTTGGTTTTGAGCAAATCACTACAGTCAAAACTGTCATTGGTCCCTGTATTAGTCTGTTGTCACACTGCTAATAAAGACATACTTGAGACTGGGTAATTTATAGAGAAGAAGAGGTTTGATGGACTCACAGTTCCATGTGGCTGAGGAGGTCTCACAATCATGGTGAAAGGTGAAGAAGGAGCAAAGGCACGTCTTACTCTTACATGGCAGCAAGCAAGAGAGTATGTGCAGGGGAACTGCCCTTTATAAAACCATCAGATCTCATGAGACTTATTCACTGTCATGAGAACAGGATGAGGGAAACCACCGCCGCGATTCAATTATCTCCACCTGGTCCCTCCCATGACACACGGGAATTATGGGAACTACAATTCAAGATGAGATTTGGGTGGGGACCAAAAGCCTAACCATATCAGTCCCTCATTGCCTTGAATAAAAAATCCAAATGTTCCAGTTTGACAAATTTCTCTCCAGCTCCCACTTGGCATTCAGCTACCCTCCTAACTTCTACAGTCCCTCTTCTACCCGCCTCATCACCACCTTCTATGAATTCTCTGCTCCAAATAAATGGGCCTGCTCTCTGTTATTCATACAGACCATCTTATTTCCCCCAGTGAATTTATGTCACTCACTTTTCCATACTTTAACATTTTCTCCCACCTCCTCTCACTAAAAAAATCTTCCTCTTTCTGGCCGGGTGCGGTGGCTCTCACCTGTAATCCTAGCACTTTCAGAGGCTGAGGCAGGCAGATCACCTGAGGTCAGGAGTTCGAGACCAGCTCGACCAACACGGAGAAACCCCGTCTCTACTAAAAACACAAAATTAGCCGGGCATGGTGGCACATGCCTGTAATCCCAGCTACTCGGAAGGCTGAGACAGGAGAATCACTTGAACCAGGGAGTTGGAGGTTGCGGTGAGCCAAGATCGTGCCGAGCCGAGATTGTGCCATTGCACTCCAGCCTGGGCAACAAGAGCAAAACTCCATCTCAAAAAAAAAAGAAAGAAAGAAAGAAAGAAAGAAAAAGAAAGAAACTCTTCCTCTTTCTTCAAGGCCTAGGTCAAGGCATCCCTCTTCAGAGATTCTGTGAACTACCAGTCTTGTAGTGATTGCCTTTTCCTCTGAACCTAGAACATTTATGGTTCACATTACACATCTGATAGTCTTCCTTACTGGGACCAGTTGTCCCCAGTTTGTGTGGAACAATCCTGGTTTGCACCTGTATTGCTGGTGAAGTACTTAATAGCATTTACAAATGCTCAAAAATGTCCCAGTCTGGATGATAAAATGCAACCATCCACCTTATCAAACCTATCTTTGCAAAAATCTAATCTCCCTGGCTGAGCTTCAAAGGACTCAATGATGGAACTGTGTCCCATTCCTCTGTACCCCATCTGCTCACACTACTCTGTGCTTTGCCCAAAGGAACGGCTCAAACAGTGCTTGAAAATCAAGTCTTATTATCCTTGACAGTGGAGAATGCTTATTTTGCTAATAAACAGATAATTCCATGGGTAATTACCTACCCCATCATCCTCCCCTACACATACACAGAGAGAGAGAGAGAGAGAGAGACCCACCAGAGTACAAAGAGTCTAAACTTCCACAGACACCATATTATTCTCTTTCTCATCCCAGCTGAGGGTGGGGAAGGGGTTCCTTTGTGCCTTGCGCAGCACAGAACTACACTTTTAGATTTTAAATGTCCTTACTAGGGATTGGCCTGAAGCAAAATTCTAACATTTTGCCATCAGTAACACTCATTTTCTCTTTTAGCACATCCACTGCCTCCTTCATTCACAAAACAATGAAAGAATATCTGCCTTGTGCTAGACATGAAGCAAGATCCCATGGACTCAAAAACTCAGCAGCAGTCTTTCCCTCTAGGAGCTTAGAATCTGTTGTCAGACAAACAATCAGGACTCTACAGGATACACTCTAGGAGCTTAGAATCTGTCGTCAGACAAACAATCAGGACTCTACAGGATACACTCTAGGAGCTTAGAATCTGTCGTCAGACAAACAATCAGGACTCTACAGGATACACTCTGGGAGCTTAGAATCTGTCGTCAGACAAACAATCAGGACTCTACAGGATACACTCTGGGAGCTTAGAATCTGTCGTCAGACAAACAATCAGGACTCTACAGGATACACTCTAGGATCTTAGAATCTGTCATCAGACAAACAATCAGGACTCTACAGGATACACACTATTGAGAAATACATCCTGTGCTGGGGGAGCATAGTGGAGAAAGCACCTAATTCTTATTGGTCTGCTTGGATGAGTTGAGGAAGATTTCCCAGAAATGACATTAGAGCTCAGTGACCAAATAGAGAATTAGTAGGAAAAGGCACACCAAACAGAATTGCAAGGAAATTGTCCTGAAAAATGTCAATTAAGTGTGTAAGAAACATGCCAGGCATAGGGGCTGGATCTGGGGAAAGGAATGGGCAGAAAACATGGTTGAACAGGGAGCGTGGAGCCAGATAGAGCCTTGCTAAGAGGTTTAGGATTTATGTTATAAGCAAAGACACACACACACACACACACACACACACACACACACACACACACACACACAGAGAGAGAGAGAGAGAGAGAGAGAGAAGATTTGTTAATTTGGGAAGTGGTATGACTAGATTTATGCTTTAGATAGCTCTCCCATGGAGAAAGCTCCAAAACTCATACACAAAAGTTTAAGGACAGCTTTCCTCAAATGAGAGGTGGCATGGAGAAGCTGTGTTTGCAGAGAAACTACATCATTATACTTACAATGTATGTTTACATAGGATGGCTGGATGGGAAGGGTGGTTTAATAGAGATTGTGAAAAGGCATCTGGGTTCATTGGCTCAGGCCTGTAATCCCAACACTTTGGGAAGCCAAGGCAGGCAGGCCACTTGATGTCAGGAGTTTGCGACTAGCCTGGCCAACATGGTGAAACTCCATCTCTACTAAAAATACAAAAATTAGCGAGGTGTGGTGGCACATGCTTATAATCCCAGCTACTTGGGAGACTGAGACAGGAGAATCTCTTGAACCTGGGAGGTGGACGTTGCAGTGAGCAGAGATTGGGCCACTAAACTCTAGCCTGGGTGACAAAGTGAGACTCTGTCTCAAGAAAAAAAAAAAAAAAGCTAGAGCCCTCTCCACCAAATAATTACCTATTTTACTCATTTGGCACTTCATATATGCCCTTTGTTATGGTTGGATTTTGAGGGAAAGGAAGCAGCCATGATGGATCAGGAATGTGAGGAATTGAAAGAGAGGAAGAGAAGCACCTGGCTTGGGCCACTGGATAGATAATGATGCCATTAATAAAGGTGGAGAATATAGGCCACTGAGATTTGGGGGTGTATGATGAGCTTCGTTTTGGACATGCTAAATTGGAAATGTTTGTAGGAGTTCCAGATGGAGTAATTCAATTGGTTATAGAACTATGTTAGAAGAAAAACTTAAGACAAATTAAATTTAACAGAGTTTAATTGAACAAAGAACAATTTGTGAATCAGGCAGCCACACACACCAGAATAGGTTCAGAGTGACTCTGGGCCTGCCATATGGCAGGATAAGATTTATGAACAGAAAAAGGGAGTGAGGTCCAGAAAACGGAAGTGAGGTGCAGAAACAGCTGGAATGATTATGGCTCAGCATTTCCGTTATTTGAACACTTGAATAGTCAGCCTCCTGTAATTGGCAGATGCGCTATGATTGGCACAAGAGTAGATTACAGTCTGTTTACACATCCAGTTGGGTTACAGTTCACTATATAGGAAGAAACCTTTAGGCTGAACTTAAAATATGTAAGGAGGTGACTTTGACTTAACAATTGTCAGTGTTAGATCAGGGGAAAGATTTGTTCTCAAGCTAGAGATTGGCATGTTTTTTGCACCTGAGTACTAATTGAAATGGCAAGAAGAGATGATGTCATCCATGGAAAGGATGGATATCAAAATGAAATGGAATCAAGGATTGTAGGAGAAGCACAATTAAGGGAGGCTGGAAAGGAGGTTTCATTTACCATGTTGACATTGATCAATTGGTAGTGTCTGCAGGGAGTCCCCAAGGAGGACTCTAGGGCCACATTCAGGATGCCAGGATGGATTCACAGAGTTGTTAGTCGGCAGGAGAGGTGGAAGTGGTGGCACCTCAGATTTAGGAGGCTGACAGAGGAAAAAGGATGCAGCAAGAGGTGACAGTGCAAAAGAATGACAAGAAAACACATCAGAAAGACATGTTTAATGGAGGCAGGTGCATCAGGAGATGATACAGAATTACAGGCTGAAGCAGGGAGGCTGGAAATTAGACATTTGCGATTTCATGGAGAGCTGTCTCATTGATTTCGAGGGGGCAGAACTGAGGAGAGTTGAAGAGCAAAGGGGAGGAGTTTAAATGACCTTAGTGAGGGAAGTCAATGCCCTCAAGAAACTCCCAGTGTCTTACCCACACTGTGAAGCGGCCCAGTTCTACCTAAAGGAGACTTGCCCTTCCAAGACAGTATCTTTGGTTTTAAAACTGGCTTTGTTTGCACCTGGCCTAGCTACATCAGGACTCAGAGCCACCTGATCGCCACTGAGTGGACGATGCTCCCCAGCTGCCCTGGAGAGTTCGCTGGGGTCAATGGGAGAAGCTACATGGTGTCTGGGATCCTCATTGCCAGACTCTCTTTGTCTGGGAATGCAAGAGTTCCAGTGAGAGTCCTAATCAATTTTCCTCTGAGTAATTGCACTCCAGCCTGGGCGACATAGTCTCCAATGTCTGCCCAGGAATCTCAGCAAAATTCTTCATCCCAGCCTACCACTTTGGTATGTCCTGTGTTTTTTGGGGTTTTGTTTTTGTTTTTGTTTTGAGACAGAGTCTCACTCTGTCACCCAGGCTGGAGTGCAGTGGTGTGGTCCTAGCTCACTGCAGCCTCTGCCTCCCAGACTCAAGCAATCTCCCGCCTCAGCCTCCTGAGTAGCTGGGACCACAGGCAACCACCACCACACCCAGCAAATTTTTAGTTATTTGTAGAGACGGAGTCTCACTATGTTGCCCATGTCCTGTGGGGTTTTTTTTTATCATCTCTCCCACAAAACCCCACACTACCCACAACATGCCCTAAACTTAACTATTCTTTGATAATATAACGAAAGAAGTTAGGAAGTTTCCAATTTAAAAGACAGGCTGGGTATGGTAGCTAACACCCGTAATCCCAGCACTTTGGGAGGCCGAGGCAGGCAGATCATCTGAGGTCGGGAGGTTGAGACCAGCCTGGCCAACATGGTGAAACCCTGTCTCTACTAAAAACACAAAAATTAGCCAGGCGTGGTGGCACATGCCTGTAATCCCAACTACTCAGGAAGCTGAGGCAGGAGAATCACTTGAACTCAGGAGGTGGAGGTTGCAGTGAGCAGAGACTGCGCCATTGCACTCCAGCCTGGGTGACAGACTGAGACTCTGTCTTAAAAAAAAAAAAAAAAAAAAGGCAAAGGCCAAAGGGACATATACATACCAAAGGAAAAGGAAACACAGACACACACACACACACACACACACACACACACACACACACACACACGCACAAAACAAACCAAGGCTGTTTCACTAAAAGAAATGAAGTTGGGGGCAGCTAAAGGGAAGTAAAAGAACAGCAGGCCCTGCCCACCCTGGCAAGAACCCATGAAAGGACAGTGGGAGGGGAGAACCTTCTAGGTTCAAACAGAAAATGTGAAAAGCATCATTTTTTAAAATAGGATTCCCAATCCTAAATTTCAAATTAGAGCTGCCTTTGATTGCAAATGTTTAAACTTATATTAAAGGAAAATGACCATCAAGGGGATTGTTTCTGGAGTCAGGCTCAGCATGAAGTAATGGGACTGTTACCTCATTAGAATGAAATAGGAACAAAGCTATGCTTGAAACCTTAAAGACCCGGCTCCAGGGCCTGAGCTTTGGCCATTTTTTACGCTGCACTGACCCCTAGAGGTTCTTCCTTTTCATTCACAATGTGCTATACACTTGGCCCAGGGGAAAAAAATAAAATAAGAGAAAATGTTGCTTTTCTTTCTTACAATCAAAAGCGGTATGAAAAGCAGGAAAAAGAAGGAAAGCGTGATCTCACTGCCAAGTGCTATCAATTAAAACCGCCTTAATAAGAGGAGCAAATCTCGTCAGTGAATTTCTCGTGCCACGAGCACCAGCAGTTAAGCTTGCTGCAATATTAGTAAAACAGATTGGGAACAAGCACTTGCATTTTAAATGTGCATCTTTGATTCCCTGCCCCATGTGGCAGCTGAGACCCTAGACCAGCTGCCAACCCCATCCAGTCCCTTCCCAATACAAGGACGGTGGGAAATTGTGGCCCTGTCTGAAGACCCAGTTGCTTGGATTGCCTTATCACTGCCACGTTGCTTAATATCTCACCCAGAGGAGAAGGTTGAGTCCCCAGAGTGTCCACATGCACATTAGGTTGAAACACACCTCTGCTGGGGGAAGCAAGCTGCATCACTGTTATAGGGTAGGGGGAAAAAGAGCGTGGCATGTCAAGTCCTCACAAGAATCTTAATGACACTCTTATGGCAATAGAAAATTTGATTTTTAACCCACAGGCCATCCAGAGATCTGTCCTCTTATGGAGAAGAAAGGCAGGAAGTCAGAAATATTGAGGGAGCTGGAATTTCCAGTCTGCAAGTGTGACTTGGGGGCAATTTTAAGAGTGCGTGTCCCTCAAATTAAGGAATTAATCCCTCTTCAGGGCAGACAGTCCAGAGGAATAAGAGATCCAAGAGGGGCTGGGACATGTGCTCTAAAATTCAAATAATCCACAACTGTGCATCCATCATTATAGTTATATAGATTATATGACATAGTTATATATAATCTACATCATCCATAGTCTCACTAAAAGGGAAGAAGGAAAAATGTAAGGCCCTTTGGAAACAACAGTTTGAAAACAATAGCTTGGTTACTCTCTAAACATCACGTACAGATTTTCTCACATGTGAATCTGCCCAGTTCTACCTAAAGGAGCCTTGCCCTTCCAAGACAGCATCTCTGGTTTTAAAGTGGCTTCATTTGCAACCAGCCCAGGATCAGGACTCAGGGCCACCTGATCGCCACTGAGTGGATGATGCTCCCCAACTGCCCTGGAGAGTTCACTGGGGTCAGTGGGAGAAGCTGCATGGTGTCTGGGATCCTCATTGCCAGACTGTCTTTGTCTGAGCGTGCAAGAGTTCCTGTGAGAGTCCTAATCGATTTCTCTCTGGGTAATAATGGTCTTACCTGCACGACAGCTACCCGAAAGCTCCTTTCCTCAGCGGTGGCGATCGTTACCACCTCAAACAAAGCTGGCCTCTCCAGAGCATGCACCTGGGAAGAGGCTGAATGTATTGAAAACTGGTGAGCCTGAAAGAGGTAATCTTAGGTAAATCTCTTTATCTCTACGAACTGTGGAGGAAGCATTTTTAAACCTGTATATATATGGGTGAATCTTATTCTTATAAAAAATGAATATGAGAAAAGAACTTTTATCTGAGGAATGCAAGTCTTTTTAACTGATCAGGCCTACAGAGACACAACAATGAGACAGCAATCACACACGACTCCCCACTTTGATCTATGTATTCATCTCTTGAAACTGCTTGCTAGTGCCACAAATAGCCATAGATTCACCTCAGAATGCTGCACCGGACACGATTACCCACATCCTGTAGCTTAACAATGTATAGCCAATCACTAATCAGTGTCATTTCTATAAACCCATGAGAATTCCTGGATTTATACAAAGCAATTTTGTATCAGCCCACTCCCTTTCCCTCTTTTTTGCCTTTAAGAATGTGCTTGTAATAAAGGCCAAAAGAAGCTCATATCCAAGATTACTAGGGGGTTGAGTCTTCCAGGCAGCTGTCTTCACTTTGACTCAATTAAACTCTTTACGTTGTCTGTTGTGTCTCAGCCTCTTCCTTTTAGGTCTACAAAACTTACAAGAGGAGGGAGTTATTTCTAGTCTAGACATTTGATTTGACACCAAAAATAAAAACATGGAAAGTAATTAAACCACTTATGTCCTGTGGTTTAACCACTTGCCTTTTTCATGAAATTACACTTGTGACTTAGACACTGGCCCAAGCATTATGCATCTGGAATTTCAGGCTGTCTTTACTACTGATCATCTAGTAATTGATTGGGCAGTGATCTGATTTAATAGGTGAGCTAGCTGAAATAATTGGATTGACAATTTCCATAGATGAGGTGTTCACTCACCACACCATCTTTCACCCATTAGGATGTTATGCATTTACTCCAATGGATTCAGAGAATCATAATTATTCACAAAATTTTCCAATTTCCCACTGCAGTTGTCACTCAGAAAGTATGCCAAGAAGCTCAGCAGAAAAAATGCCTAAATATGTAAGCCCTTATTAAATGATTCACCTCACTGTTGCCAACCTTCAGTCTAGGAGCTCCCATTTTCATCTACTTAAGGAACCTTGACACAGTCCTAAGGCATATAGGACTAAGAATGCCTTAAAAATGTATCCCATTTCCTTACACATATATTGAGTTCCCAGAAAGTATCAGAACAAACACCAGTTGCAAAATTACAAGGCTTCATGGTTACAGCTATAATTCTGGAAAACTGGGAGCATACTCACATTTCCCAATTACAGAAAGATGTCACTAATATTTACTTTCCCTGTCAGTTGTGTTTTGTTAATTAAGCATCTTTTGCCTGAGGGAATGAGGAACTTCTTGTTCTCCCTGGGTTTGGAAGGTAAAAGTAAGTAGAGATTAGGCAGCCACTGGAATCACAAAAGCAAGTGCTGCCTGGCTAACTCCAGTCCCCACCCCAGCCTGAGGCAAATGATAGAATGTTCTATTTAAAGAAGCCCATTGACAATACTATTGTTCTTTCAAAGCCTAGGAGAAAGTAAAAATTGTATTGAGAGTGTCTTTTTTTCCCTGCCTTCAAACTGTTGGGTATACATAAAGTGATTGAGAAAAGAAAAATAACTAAGGGAAGTCTGAGCTATGTGAGCTATGCAAAATGCATCAGCCCCAGAAAGGCAAAAGTATGGGACTTCAGTCATTTATCAGGCCCAGAAAGATATGAGTATGGGACTTCCACTCCTACCAACCCCTGCCTGGGGACAATTGTTTAAAGGCATTTTGTTCCTGACTTGCTGTTTCACTCGTAGTCTTTATGTTTCTGGAATTTGTGACACAAAGAACAATGTATAGCCAATCATATCTTATTATTTTAATGTAGATTTTTGGTTAACAATTTAGGAACTCTCTCTTTTCCTTTAAAAACCTACTTGTGGCTGGGCGCAGTGGCTGACACCCGTAATCCCAGCACTTTGGGAGGCCAAGGCGGGCGGATCACCTGAGGTCAGGAGCTCGAGATCAGCCTGACCAACACAGAGAAACCCCATCTCTACTAAAAATACAAAATTAGCCAGGTGTGATGGTACATGCCTGTAATCCCAGCTACTTGGGAGGCCGAGGCAGGAGAATCGCTTGAACCCGGGAGGCCAAGGTTGCAGTGAGCTGAGATCACGCCATTGCACTCCAGCCTAGGCAAGAAGAGTGAAACTCTGTCTCAAAAAAAAAAAAAAAAAAAAAAACCTGCTTGTAGCACCTGCTAATAGGAGTACATATTCAGGGCAACTTGAATCTATGCTTGCAATCCTCAAGCATGACCCAAATAAACTCTCTACTTTTATTAATTTTGCTTCTTCTTCTTCCTTTTAGGTCAACATACTATGACATTCTAGAAAGCTTGATAAAGTTTTAAAGATTGTTATTTGTATTATTAAAGCGATTTCTGATTATTATAGAGTTTACATGCAATTATCATTGTCCATATATCCCAGGCAAATATAAGAGTTTAATTTAGGAGGTTTGGATGTTGCTTGAATGCATGATTGTAGAAACACAAAATTATTGACTAAGTGGAGGTAGAGAGCTCTAATACTAGCAGTTACCAAAGTGAGATGCATACACAGCAAGGGCTTTCACAGAACTTTCAAGTTCCTTCTCATTGTAAGTTTTGGGTAAAAAAATGTAAGTTATGCCAATAGTTATTGATATAGTTTGGATATTTTTCCCCACCCAAATCTCATGTTGAAATGTAATCCCCAGTGTTGGAGGTGGGGCCTGGTGTGAGATGATTGGATCATGGAGGAAGATATCTCATGAATGGTTTAGCACCATCCTCTTGATGCTGTTCTCAGGATAGTGAATGAGTTCTTGCAAGATCTAGTCATTTAAAAGTGTGTGACACCTCCCCACTCTCTTGCTCCTGCTCTGGCCACATGACCTGCCTACTCCCCCTTCACCTTCCACCACGATTATAAGTTTCCAAAGGCCTCCCCAGAAGCCAAGCAGATGCCAACACCATGCTTCCTGTGCAGCCTGCAGACCTGTGAGCCAATTAAACCTATTTTCTTTATAAATTACCCAATCTCAGGTATTTCTTTATATTAATAGCAATGCAAGAACAGACTAACACAGTAATGAAGATCATTGATTCTGTGGGTGCAAATAACATGGCTTGGAATTCTCATGTGTATTATGATGAGAAAGGACAAGTAGTCCAAGGTCGTGGTTAACGCTCTTAACCCAGGCACCTAGTTTTGAATCCTGGCTCTGCCATTTGCTAATTCTGTGACCTGAGTTTCTTAACCTTTGTGTACCTCAGTTCCCCATCTGTAAATATTACCTTCCTCAAGTGTCCCTATGAGGATTAAATGAGATCCTATTTGGGAAGCACTTAAAACAGAGTCTGGCACATTGTCAGGGTTATACAATGCTATATATGTGTTTGTTGAATACAATAACAAAACATGGAGTGTTTGTTATTAATTGGAAAGATGTTGCGAGATAAACAAGACAAAATCCCTTTACATCAGTCGTTAGATCATTTTTTTTTGCATGACAAACATTTTAAGAGTCTGATAGAAAAATGTTCATATTGTATAACATAATAAATTTTGGCATATGATTTCAGCATGTTTATGGACTCCTACCCCAAGTAGCCCATGGGCTGTAGATAAGAAGCCTTGCATTAAACTAAAATCATGTTTATAGTGAAAATATGCTGGCACAATGAACATTCACATACATTTAACAAATATAAACGGCCAGGCATGGTGGCTCAAGCCTGTAATCTCAGCACTTTGGGAGGCCGAGGCGGGCAGATCACGAGGTCAGGAGATCAAGACCATCCTGGCTAACACAGTGAAACCCCGTCTCTACTAAAAATACAAAAAAAAAAAAAAAAATTAGCCGGGCATGGTGGCGGGTGCCTGTAGTCCCAGCTACTTGGGAGGCTGAGGCAGGAGAATGGCGTGAACCCGGGAGGCGGAGCTTGCAGTGAGCCGAGATCGCACCACTGCACTCCAGCCTGGGGGAAAGAGCAAGACTCCGTCTAAAAAAAAAAAAAAAAAAAAAAAAATATATATATATATATATATATAAACATCTGAGATGTTGTATGAGGTATTTAGGGTGTTAAGTGCAGAGCTGTGTTCCCACACCCCCAACCCCTGCCAAATTCATATGTTGAATTTCTAACCCCCAGTAGCTTAGAATGTGACCATATTTGGACCAAACTTAATCCTTTAAAGAGGTGATTAAGTTCAAATGAGGCCATTAGGTTGGGCCCTAACCTAATGTAACTGGTGTCCTTATAAGAAGCAGAAATTTGGATATAGACAGGCACAGAGTGAAAACTCAGGGAAGAGAAGATGGTCGCCCACCAGCCAAGGAGAGAGACCTCAGAAGAAACCAATCCTGCTGACATCTTTATCTTGAACTTCTAGCCTCCAAAACTATAGGAAAGTACATTTCTGTTGCTTAAAACAACTCCGTCTGTCATACTTTCTTATGGAAGCCCTAGCAAACCAATAGCCAGGGTAATAGAAAGAGTGGGAGCAATGAAGTACCCTACACCAGAAAGTGGAAAGGTGGCAAAAAAGAGGAAGAACATTGATTCCTTTATACTTTGATGTGTTGATATTGAAAAGAGAAGAAGAAAAACAGTGAATTCTATTGGAATTGCTATTATGAATTTTATTGGGACCTTGTTTTGAAATACTACTACATGCTTTGAAATTCCTAAAATATTATAATATGATACTATGTAAGATACAATTTATTACTCCCAATGAGTCAGCAATAAATACAAAGCTTTTCATATCCCACATAAATTCAATTACATGGTAAGAGGAAAAGAATTCATAGGCAAGTACTCACAAGCATGAAAGATGTAGATGTAGGTATTTATGTTTGGGGGAAAACTGTGGCTGTCCCTTGTTAAAAACACTCACTGGGTTTGGCCAGAAGGCAAAGATTGCATCTCCCTGTATAGTACCTAGACTATCAGCATACATAATTGAGGGTAATGGTAGGGCTCTATTTCAGGTAGATGGGATGTGAATGTTAACACCAAATGTAGGTTCAAGGGAAATAATTGCTCAATTCTGTCAGCCAACCTTGATTGCTTTTCCTCTCCTGAAGCAGATTCTGAAATGAAGCTATGTACACTGTGGTGCTAATGAGAGAAAAGAAAGAAGAGGAGAGGAGGATGGGTGGGGTGGCTCGTGCCTGTAATCCCAGCACTTTTGGAGGCCAAGATAGGAGGGTCGCTTGAGGCCGAGAATTTGAGATCAGCGTGGGCAACATAGCAAGACTCTTTCTCTATAAACAAACAAACAAAAAAATTAGCTAAGGGATGGTGGTATATATAAGCCTGTAGTCCCAGCTACTCAGGAGGCTAAGGCAGAAGGATTCCTTCAGCTGAGAATTCAAGGTTGCAGTGAGCTATGATCCGGCCACTGCACTCCAGCCTGGGAGACAGAGTCAGACTGTTTCAAAAAGAAAGAAAGAAAGAAAGAAAGAAAGAAAGAAAGAAAGAAAGAAAGAAAGAAAGAAAGAAAGAAAGAAAGAAAGAAAGAAAGAAAGAAAGAAAGAAAGAGAAAGAAGGAAGGAAGGAAGGAAGGAAGGAAGGAAGGAAGGAAGGAAGGAAGGAAGGAAGGAAGGAAGGAAGGGAAAGAAAGAAAGAAAAGAAAGAAAGAAAGAAAGAAAGAAAGAAAGAAAGAAAGAAAGAAAGAAAGAAAGAAAGAAAGAAAAAGGAAAGAAGAGGAAAGAAATGGTTCCCCATCCTAGAAATGGTTCTCTTTGATGTAGCCTGGGCAATTATTACATACCGGCTCTGTAAAGAAATCACGACAAAATGTCTGAGTATGGTAAACTTGAATAGGACCTCAGAAGAGTTATTTTAGAAATTTAGCAGTAACTTTTTAACGCCTGCTTCACGGAACACATTTCATTTTAAGTATTTCACTGACATTGATGAATGAGCTTGCAATGCTCATCTTAAATTTTCTTGAATACAAACAATTCAGAAACTGGTTTGCACATATTTTTTATATTATTTTTAGAAAGAATGTAGCATTCAGGAAAGACATTAAATTGATGACTTATTCCCAAGAGGACAGAAAGTTTCCCATTTACCCTGCCTGGTTCATTAACTCTGCTTGGCCCATCTGAACCTGAGCTATCTGGACAGCTAGGAAAAAAATGAAGGTAATGAGGCTGCCTCCCCAACCAAAGGCTAGAAAAAGTGAAGCATTAAAGAAACACAGCAAAGATGCAAAATGCTAAAGAAGCAATATTTTCTAACATATCTAAATGTGGCTGCTTTCACCATGGGACTAGCAAAGATGCAAAATGCTAAAGAAGCAATATTTTCTAACATCTAAATGTGGCTTCTCTCACCATGAGACTATTCCTTTATTTTCTTTCAATCTTTGACGCAAGGTTTTGTTTTTGCTTTTTTTTAATCATCATTTTTCCTTATCATTTCCTGTATATATGAGTATGGTCCCATCTATACATTTTAAAATAGGGAATAAGGAATATATATGTATGTATTTCTATCATAAGCCACATTTTCTCACCTTTCTCATTCTTTCCTCATTCCCAGTTCCCCTACTGCTCTCAAACTCTCCATTCACCACTTAATAGAGGTTATTTTACTTCTCTCAATTCTGGAGATTTTACAATAATTGTTGCCAAAAAGGTTGTTCTCTCCCTTTAACACAATCTGTCTTGCTCTAGGATCGTGGTGGTTCCCCAGTGCCATTATTTCTGCAAATATACTAACCTGACCCACACAGACAGAATTGAGAGGTGAAGATGGTGTCCTGTGTGGACCCTGGCACCACACTGCTGGGGTTCAAGCTCTGTCTGCGGCCCACCAGCTGAGTGGCCCTGCTGAAGGTCCTCTAGGACTCAGTTCTCTCATCTGCAAAATTAGGATAGTAATCTCTCTCTTGTAGGGTTACTGTGAGTTTAAATTGAGATCATGTATATCTGGTGTTATTGTTATTACAGTTGACCCTTGAACAACATGGGTTTGAACAGTGCTGGTCCACTTACATGCAGGTTTTCTTCTGCCTCTACCACCCTTGAGATGGCAAGAGCAACCCTTCCTTTTCCCCCTCCTCCTCAGCTTACCCAATGTGAAAACAATGAGGAAGAAGGACTTTATAATGATGCACTTCCACTTATTGAATAGTAAATGTTTTCTCTTCTTTATGATTTTAATAACATTTTCTTTTCTCTAGCTTACTTTATCACAAGAATGCAGCATATAATACATTTAACATACATCATATGCATTAATTGACTGTTTATGTTATTGACAAGGGTTCCAGTCAACAGCAGGCTATTAGTAGTTGAGTTTTGGGGAAGCTGAAAGTTATGTGCAGATTTTTGGCTGTGCACATTATTCCAGGGCCAACTATATTTCATGAGCTAGGCTCTGGAAGTTCACCAATTCAGTAAGGACTGATTAACATTTTCTATGGAAGCAAAAATGGATTGTGGTAAGAAACAAGAAAGTAGTATTTATCCTGGATGTATCTTACCTATGTAATTTCCCAGGCAGGAAGGGCAGTCATTGCAGGACATTCTCTCCCTTTTCCAATGTGGCCCCCTAATTGATCACAAGAGTGACTCTGGGTTCTTGCCTCCTGTATCTCTCCCCCTTCTCATCTGTTTCTTCACACAGGGTTCTAAAAGTAGTTGCATCTTTTGATAGCACATCACTGAATCAAACTGAGAGTTATTTCCTGTGCTCACTAGTTCAGCCTGCCAATTTTTCATTATTTAGGATTACTACAGATGATGAAATCAGATTTCACCTTTTCTTCTTCAGGAATTAACCAAAAATTGTCCCACAACTTTCCAAGAAAACACAGAAATTAGTCTGTCATCAAGAAAGGAAAGAAATTAAAACTGAAATGTATGTAGTAAGGAAGATGCTATTATGACTTATAAGTTCCACATTTAGACTACCATAGCCAAGATCTACCTGGAAAGTCTGCCTTTTCTCAGAGCTTGAGGAGGGTCATATTACCATATTATTTTTATAATATGGTAAAATATACATAATATAGAATTAAGTAGATTCACATTGTTATACAACCATCACCACCATTCATCTCAAGAATGTTTTCATCTTCCCCAACTGAAACTTAGTACTCATTAAACATTAACTTTCTTAATATCCCTTTCCCTAAGCCCCTGGCAATCACCATTCTGTTTTCTCTGATAAACGATAAATGAGAAAGGCAACATACCCTTTTCCGGCCAGATCTGCTGAATCTATCCTGCAGATTTGTGGTATGGTAGATGTTGCAGCCAGATGTGTAGCCTCCTATCCACATTTGTTTAATAGTATGATAGCCAAAGAAATTCTGATCTCTAAGGATGAAAGTCACTAAGATAAGAAAAAGGTCACTCAAAAATACTACAGAAATGTGGAAATAAATATCAGAATTAAGTTATAGTTCCGTAAGAATATCATTAGCATTATACTATATTGTTTCCTTTTTCTCTTTAGCCCCACAAAGATTGTGATTACCAGGCAAATCACATCCCCGTATTATCTTGGGTTAGGCCAGAGGATAAAAATGATGTCCAACTCATTATCTAACATAACTATCTTATTTTTATTTTTATAATATGGTAAAATATACATAATATAGAATTCACAGTTTTAACAATTTTTAAGTGTACAGTTCAGTGGCATTAAGTACATTCACATTGTGGTACAACCATCACCAACATTCATCTCGAGAATGTTTTCATCTTCCCCAACTGAAACTTAGTATTCATTAAATATAACTTTCTTAATATCCCTTTCCCTAAGCCCCTGGCAATCACCATTCTATTTTCTCTCTCTATGAATGTAACTATTCCAGATCTCTCAAGCAAGTAGAATTATACATTATTTGTCTTATTGTGACTGGTAGATATGGTTTGGTTCTGTGTCCCCACCCAAATCTCATGTTGAATTGTAATCTCCAATGTTGGGGGAGGGACCTGGTGGAAGGTGATTGGATCACAAGGGTGGATTTCCCCCTTGCTGTTCTCATGACAGTGAGTTCTCATGAGATCTGGTTGTTTAAAAGTGTGTACCGCATCCCTGTTTGCTCACTCTGTTTCCTGCTGCCATGTGAAAATGTGCTTGCTTCCCCTTTGCCCTTCTGAGCCATGATTGTAAGCTTCCTGAGACTTCCTAGCCATGCTTTCTGTACAGCCTGCAGAACAGTGAGTCTATTAAACCTCTTTTCTTTATAAATTACCCAGTCTCAAATAGTTCTTTACAGAAGTGTGAGAATGGACTAATACAAAAAAATGGTACCAGAAAAGTAGGGTGTTGCTATAAAGATACCTGAAAATGTGGAAGCAACTTTGGAACTGGGTAATGGGCAGAGATTGGAACAGTTTGGAGGGCTTATAAGAAGACAGAAAGATAAGGGAAAGTTTGGAACTGTCTAGAGACTTGTTGAATGGTTGTGACCAAAATGCTCATAGTGATAGGGACAGTGAAGTTCAGGTTGAGGTCTCAGATGAAGATGAGAAACTTATTGAGAACTGAAGTAAAAGTCACTCTTGGTATGCTTTAGCAAAGAGACTGGTGACATTGTGCCCCTGCTATACAGATCTGTGGAACTTTGAACTTGAGAGAGATGATTTAGGATTTCTGGCAGAAGAATATTCTAAGCAGCAAAGCATTCAAGGTGTTACCTGGCTGCTTCTGATAGTCTATGCTCATATGTGTGAACAAAGAGATTATCTGGAACTGGAACTTATGTTTAAAAGGGAAGCAGAGCATAAAGTTTCAGAAAATTTGCTGCCTGACCATATGCAAGAAAAGTAAAACCCATTTTCCAGGGAGAAATTCAAGCCAGCTGGAGAAATTTGCATAAGTAAAGAGGAGCCGAATGTTAATAGCCAAGATAATGAGGAAAATGACTCCAAGGAATTTCAGAGACCTTTGTGGCAGCCCCACCTATCACAGGCCCAGAGGCCTAGGAGGGAATAGTTGTTTCATGGGCCATGCCCAGGGCCCCGCTGATCTGTGGCCTGGACATGGCACCCTGTGTCCCAGCTGCTCCAGCTCCAGCCATGGCTAAAAGAGGCCAAGGTACAGCTTGGGCTGTTGTTTCAGAGGGTGCAAGCCTCAAGCCTCAGTAGCTTCCACGTGGTGTTGGGCATGCAGGTACATAAAAGGCAAGAGTTCAGGTTTGAAAACTTCTGCCTAGATTTCAGAGTATGTATGGAAATGCCTGGATGTCCAGGCAGAAGTCTGCTGCAGGGGCAGAACCCTCATGGAGAACCTCTACTAGAGCAGTGCAGAGGGGAAATATGGTATATGAACCCCCACACAGAGTCTCCATTGGGACACTGCCTAATGGAGCTGTGAGAAGAAGGCCACTGTCCTCCATACCCTAAAATGGTAGATCCACCAACAACCTGCACCCTGTGCCTGGAAAAGCCACAGGCATTCAATGCCAGCCCATGAAAGCAGCCACAGGGGCTGTACCCTGCAGAGTCACAAAGGCAGAGCTTCCCCAGACCTTGGGAGCCCACCCATTGCATCAGTGTGCCCTGGATGTGACACATTGAGTCAAAGGAGATTATTTTAAAGCTTTAAGATTTAGTGACTCCCCTGCTGGGTTTCAGACTTGCACTGGGCCTGTAGCTCCTTTGTTTTGGCCAATTTCTCCACTTTGGAATGGGAGCATTTACCAAATGCCTGTATCCCCATTGTATCTTGGAAGTATCTAACTTGTTTCTTATTTTACAGGCTCCTAGGCAAAAGAAATTTGTCTCAAATGAGACTTTGGACCTGAACTTTTGGGTTAGTGCTGGAATGAGTTAAGACTTTGGGATATTATTGGGAAGACATGATTGTGTTTTGAAATGTGAGAAGGACATGAGATTTGGGAAGGGCCAGAGGCAGAATAATAGAATTTGGCTCTGTGTCCCCACACAAACCTCATGTTGAATTGTAATTCCCAATGTTGGGGAAGGGACCTGGCAGGAGGTAATTGGATCATAGGGGTGAATTTTCCCCTGGCTGTTCTCATGATAGTGAGTGATTTCTCATGAGATATTGTTGTTTAAAAGAGTTTACCACTTCCCTCTTCATGCTCTCTCTCTCCTGCCACCAGATGAAGATATGCTTGCTTCCTCTTTGCCCTTCCACCATAATTGTAAGTTTCCTGAGGTCTGGCATCCATGCTTCCTGTAGGGCCTGCAGAACCATGAATCAATTAAACCTCTTTTCTCTTACCAGTGTCAGGTGGTTCTTTATAGCAGTGTGAGAACAAATATGCCAGCTTTGTTCCATCTAACAGTTATTAAAGTAAGCAATAAGTGCTTTCTGGTGATATAGACTGGCCATTCATTCAAAAAATATCTGGTCTCCTCTATGCCAAGAACTGTGGGAAATAAAAGACATTGCTTAGTCACTACAATCTGGTTATGAAGATGAGACAAAGCAATAGGATTGGTTAGGAATAAGACTGCATAGAATAACAACCCCAAATGACCGTAACCAACTGCCAGAATGTGGGATACAGACAACTGATGTCATGAACAGCAGAGGTGAGAAAAGATCAAAGTTGACTGGAGTAAGGGTGAAGCAATTTATAAAGAAAGGGCCTTAAAGAATTGATTATATTTCTGTAGAACTAAAGGGGAAAGAACTGGGGACAAGAACAAGAGCAAAACCAACATTAGTGGAAAGACAAGGACAGAAGATGAGCCTAACAGGGTGTGCAGGTTACTCAGTGTGGCCCCTTGTCCCAACCCATCTTTCTCTGACTTGCCCTGTGTTCCAGAAAGCTGGGCTCTACACACATGCCTTCTGGCTTCCTGTTCGGTTCTTGGTGTGGCTGGTCTCTGAATGTTTAACAAGCATTTGATTCAAACACTGCCAACACCTATGAAAATAATCCCTTCACTGAGTTCCTTCCTTGAGTAACATTTAGTTAATCTGTTCGAGGGTGGCATCAATTTCCTGCCAGGCTTTGACTATTATGCTGGGATATGTGTTGCATCTGTAGAGTATTTTACATTTTCATGATTGCATACAGCACAATCTTGAGCATATATTGAGGTGAATGAATGCAGTTCTCTGAAGCAAAAAACACAATGGTTAAAAACAGAGCAATTGCGTCATTTGTGCCTTTGACCTACATTGAATTTGGAACTTCATTATGTACAGGATATAAGCCTTCTCTTGTATTTGATTCTCCCAACAACAAAAAAATTTCAAAATGTGTCAAGGTTATCAATCTTTGCTATTAGAACAGAATGAAGTATTATCCTTCAACAGGTGAAAGGATAACAATGGATTTTAAAAATCTATGGCAATAAAATAATAAACTCTTGATATGTGAATTATTCTCAATGTATTATGTTAAGTGAAAGAAGCCAGACCCATAAGTCTACATACTGCATAATTCCATTTATACAACATTCTGGAAAAGGCAAAACTATAGAAACAGAGAACAAATCAGTGGCTGACAACAGATCAGGGTAAAGAAGGTGTTGACTATGAAGGAGTATCACTAAGGAATTTGGGGAGGTGATAAAATAGCTCTGTGTAATTACGGCAGTGGATTCTATTCATTTGTCAACACTCAGAACTGCACATCAAAAAGGCTAAATTTTAATGTATATTTTTTTTTAAATAAACTCAAGTTTCGTTTTAAACCAGAATGGGGTGGGGCTATTGTCTCTCACTCCAGACAGAGCTCCAGTTCCTGTCTTCACTGCTCTATGTTCTCTGCTCATATATGGCCCTGTGACCTGAAGGTATTGGGAGATCCCTAAGTCAAACACCAGGATCCCTGGAAGCCAGGAAATGAAGCTGTTGACATTATGTGGCCATAGAATTCTCTCTGGAGAAGTGGAAATTCCTCGACCCTGCTCAGCAAAATTTGTATAGGGATGTGATGTTAGAGAACTATGGAAACTTGTTCTCCATTGGCCTCACTGTCTCTAAGCCAGGTTTGATCACCTGCCTAGAGCAAAGAATAGAGCCCTGGAATGTGACAAGACATGAGACAGTAGTCAAACATTCAGCTATGTCTTCTCATTTGACCCAAGATCTTTAGCCAGAGCAATGCACAAAAGATTCATTAAAAAAAAAATACCAATACTGAGAAGGTATGGAAACTGTGGTGGTCATTATAATTTACACTTAAGGAAAGACTCATGATATAGTATGGCTCTGTGTCCCCACCCAGATCTCATCTTGAATTGTAATCTGAATTGCTATCCCCAGGTGTCAAGGGAGGGACCTTGTGGGAGGTGAGTGAATCATGGGGATGGTTTCCCCCATGCTGTTCTTGCGATAGTGAGTTCTCACAAGATCTGTTGGTTGTTTAAGTGTTTGACAGTTCCTCCTTCACATGCTTTCTCACCTGCTGCCATGTAAGACGTGCCTGCTTCTCCTTCTGCCATGATTGTAGGTTTGCTGATGCCTCCTCAGCCATGCGGAACTCTGAGTCAATTAAACCTCTTTTCTTTATAAATTTCCCAGTCTTGGGCAGTTCTTTTATAGCAGTGTGAAAATAGACTAATACAACTGGGAAAGTTTATAATGACTGTACTGATTTACATCCACACCAACAGTGTGCAAGCATTCTCCTTCTCCAAATCTTTGCCAGCATTTGTTATTTTTTGCCTTTTTAATAATAGTCATTCTAAAAGGAGTGAGTTAATATCTCATAGTGGTTTTCATTTGCCTTTCCTGGATAATTATTAATGTTTCACATTTTTAATATATCTATTTGTCATATGTGTGTCTTCCTTTGAGAAATGCCTAAGCTTTTTCCTTATTTTTAATACATATTTGTTTTTGTTACATAGTTGGTTGAGATTCTTAAATATTTTAGATATTAATTCCTTGTCAGATTCATAATTTGGAAATATTTTTCCCATTCCTAGGTTATCATTCCATTGATTGTATCTAGTGCGGTGCAGAAGTTTTTCAGTTTGAAATAATCTTATTTGTCTGTGTTTACTTCTGTTTCCTGGCATTTTCAGGTTAAATTCAAAAAGTAATTGCCCAAACCAATATCATATTTTCTTTTACCTTATGTTGTCTTCCAGTAGTTTCAGATGTTATATTTAAGTGTTTGATCCATCTTGAGTTGTTTTTTATATGTGGTATGAGACGAGATGAGGGTCTCATTTCTTCGTTCTGCATGTGGATATCCATTTTTTCCCAACACCATTTACTGAAGAGACTGTACTTTAACTATTATGTGTTTTTGTCACCTTTGTCTAAAATCAGTTAGCTGTAAATGCATGGATTTATTTCTGGGCTCTCTATTCTGCTCTATTGTACTATGTGTCTGTTTTTATGCCAATACCATGCAGTTTTGCTTATTATAGCTTTGTAGTATATTTCAAAGTGAAGTACTGTGATGCCTTCAGCTTTACTTTATTTTGCTCAATTATTTGGACTATTCAGTGTTTTTTGTGGTACCATATAAATTGGGTGATTCCTTTTGTATGTGAAGAATGTCATTGTTATTTTGACACTGATTGTATTAAACCTGTAGATCATTTTAGGTAACATAAACATTTTAACAATATTAATTCTACCAATTTATTAATAAAGAACATCTTTCTTTTTGTTTGTCTTTTACTTTTTTTTTTTCCAGACAGAGTCTTGCTCTATCACCCAGGCTGGCATTCAGTGACACAACCGTGGCTCATGCAGCCTAAACCGCCTGGGCTCAAGTAATCCTCCCAACTCAGCCTTCTGAATAGCTGGGACCACAGGTGCATGCCACCATGTCTGCGTAACTTTTAAAATTTTGTAGAGATGAGGTCTCTCTATGTTTCCCAGGCGAGTCTTGAACTTCTGGGCTCAAATGATTCTCCTGCCTTGGTCTCCCAAAATGCTGAGATTACAGGAGTGAGCCACCATGCCCAATCTTTACTTAATTTCTTACCTTAATATTCTTTGGCTTTTAATGTAGAGCTCTTTCACTTTCTTGGTTAAATGTATTTCTAAATATATATTTTATAGCTATGTAGTTGTGATTGTTTCTTGATTTCTTTTTCAGAGAATATGTTCTTACTGTATAGAAATGCTACTGACTTTTGTGTTTTAATTTTGTATCCTGAAAGTTTGCAGAATTTATTAGTTCGAAGTTTTTTGGTGGAGTGTTTAGGATTTTTATTATATAAAATTACATCATCTGCAAAGAAGGACTATTTAACTGTTTCCTTTACAATCTGGATGACTTTGATTTTGTTCTCTAAAGGCTCAGATTTGGACATCCAGTACTATGTCGAACAAAAGTGATGAAAGTGGCCTTCCCTGTCTTGTTATAGCTCTTAGAGAAAAAGCCTTACTTGTTTTTGTTTAGTATGATGTTACCTGTGCATTTGTCATGCATGGTCTGTATTGGGTTGAGGTACATTTGTTCTACACTGAATATACTGAGAGTTATTATCATAAAAGAATGGTAAGTTATGTCAAATACTTTTTCTGAATCTATTTAAATGGTATACTTGGTCCTGAGGTCAGAATTTGGGGAAATGCATCCATACCTAGAGGGGTCCCTGATAGGGCATCACATTTAACATTCTGTGGACATGACCTGTGAGTGTCTGACTCCCAAAAGAGAACTGAGGCCCAGGATTGTCATCTTTGTTCACTGAATTATGCCTAGTTTTTTAAAAAGCAACTGTACAAATTAAGTGCTTAATATATGTGTTGAATAAATGAACCCCAACCAGAAACATAAAAACAAAAATAAAATGGTATGTAGCTTTTCAGGCATGCGGGAACACTTTAGAATTCTCTACCCTCCCCTCCACCCTCCATTCACTTCTGGAGATTGACAGTTACCTGAAAGCCAAAAAGAAATGATCAGACTTCTCCATAGAGCCTTAAAAATAGGTATTTCCTTAAATCGGGTTTTGGCAGTATTGATATTTTCGGGGTGTGTCCTGTGCGTTGCAGGACTTTTAGCAGCATGCCTGGCCTTTATGCACTTGATGTCAATAACTACTGCACTATTCTCCCCTCATTGTGACAACCAAAAATGGTTTACTGTTGTCATGTATTTCCTAGGCAGTCTAAGGCAAAGCTGTCTTAGACTGAGAATCACTGCTTTAGACTAATTTTAAGAACTACTTTGGCCAGGCCCAGAGGCTTATGCCTATAATCCCAACACTTGGGAGGCCAAGGCAGGAGGATGGCTTGAGCTTGGGCAACATAGTGAGACCTCATTTCTATTTAAAAAAAAAGAAATTAGCTGGGCATGGTAGCATGTGCTGGTAGTCCCAGCTACTTGGGAGGCTGAGATGGGAGGATCACTTGAGCCTGGGAAGCCAAGGCTGCAGTGAGCCAAGATCTTGCCACTACACTCTAGCCTGATTGACAGAGCAAGATCCTGTCTCAAAAGAAAAAAAAAAAGAATTACTTTATAGAATTGAATATGCCAAACTATATATGGTGTACTTTATAGGGGTTTAGAAAGTTTTCTAGGGTAATTTTGACTGGGTGGATAGAGAGAGATATTTTTCACCTTGATATATCGACTTTGGAACCTCAGGACTGCCCAGATAATGATGACTTTATTATAGAAATAATATATGTCAAGACTTTGTCTCTTGTCCTATAGCCTCACTGAGTTGGTTTATCTCTTTTATTAGAGTCATAAGATTAGAACCAAAATAGTTCTAATATGGTATAGACAAAAAATGTATTTAAAAAGGTTTAAAACATATTAGAGATAGGAAAGACCTATGGCTTTGTAATTGCTATAATAACTAAGTATTATTGCTGAATTTTAATGGAGATCATTGCCTTTGCTTTCCAGGAGGTAAAGTGTTTGCAAGATTACTCAGTCTATGCCCTTGTTGTATATTCTTGAACTATTTATTTGCTCCATATTAAGGAAAAAGAAAGCAATTATGTCTTAATTATCTTATCTAATTTGTGAAGAAGCACAACAGAGAAATTATCTTGCTTATTTTATGCGATGATTACAAGAAAGTATTCCTACATAGAAAGAATAAAGTTGAAAAACAAAGCGTTAGTGGAATGGCATTAAATGCTAATTGCTCTTAAAATATGATAATTCTAGAATAGCTAAATATTAATTTAATTATCAAGGGAACTTTTCTCAGGGCCACAGTAATAACCAAATTAGTGTTTACTACCAAAATACTTATCACAAAGTATGAAATAAAGAATCTGGCCTTGCCCAAATAAAGAACTAGCCTTTCCCCTCAGTGTCTGGGGGATATTCTAGGTCATATCTGATAAAAGGTGTCTTCTTTTTAGGGTGTGACCTGGTCAGACTGGATTTTAGGGTAGGGCCACATGTGTCAGGGTAGGATCTGACCACTCCAGAAAGATCAACCATGTGAGTTAGGGTGGGGATTTTGTGTTATGCATTCAGTTGACCTGGAGACTGAGTAAAATCGTGTGGGCAGTCAATCAATCATGTCTTAAGCACAGTCCTGGTTAAAAACTCTGAACACCAAAGCTTAGGTGAGTTTTCCTGGTTGGCAATACCCCGTATATATCACACATCAATGCTAGGAGGGTAATGTCTCCTCACTCAATGGGAGGAGGACAATGTGGGCTTTAAGTTTGGAACCCTTGCAGACTGTGTATCTCTCTGGCTAATGTTAACATGTATTCTTTCCCTACAACAAATCATAACCATGAACATAATAATTTTTAGCAAGTCCTGTGAGTCCTTCTAGCAAATTATCAAACTTGAGGGTGGTTGTGCAAGTTTAGGAGATTGCAGTGGTGTCAGAAGTGAGGGTGGTCTTGTGGAAGACTGTGTCCTCCAACTTTGATACTTAACTCATTTGGGAATGAGTTTATGAACTCATGCCCAAATCCATTCTTTTAAGAAGTCATATTCATGTCTTAGAGGAACTTATAACTTAGGTAATATGAGAAGCATTTGAGGAACAGGCAATATGTACTCATATACAAGGTGTCAGGCAGAGTCACGCTACTGAGAAGGGACAGATTGGAGGGAGGAATGCATTTGACAAGGCTTTAGGAAAGAAATGTGATGCTTTTTTTTTTTTTGGCTTAAGTAAAAGATGGGATCTGGAAAAAAAAAAGAAAAGAAAATATAGGGTCCGGACTGATTGTGAGAAAAAAAGAAGCTAATTCTACAGAGAAACCAGTAAAAATGAAAGCACAAAGGTAGGGGAAAGCACAAAAGAATAGCAGGCAGTTTGAGACAGAAGATTGAAGCAGGTGTTGTGGTTGACCCCCTAGCAGCCCCAACACTCCCATATGATGATTAATCTAAGCCATCTGGGGTAATTCCAACCCCCTTTCTCAGCAACTAGTTTAGGAATGGGCGTGTTAACCAATTCTAGCCAATGAGGTACAAGGGAAAGTGTTTGGGGCCTTCTAAAAAGCAGGCATATGGCTGGGTGTGGTGGCTAATACCTGTAATCCCAGCACTTTGGGAAGCTGAGACAGAATTGCTTGAGATCAGGAGTTCAAGACCAACCTGGTCGACATAGCGAGATCCTATCTCTATCATATATTTAAAAGAGTAAATAAATAAATAAATAATAAAAAGCAGGCACAGGAAGACATCTATCTTCTCCTTCTTGCCATTGTCATGTCTGGACACCTGGAAGCATCTTGCTACTGAGCTGAGGCTGAAGTCAATTCACGAAGGAGAGGCCATGATTAGAAGACTACACAGAAGCAAAGCTAGAGCCCTGTGGTTTGCATTAAGAATCTAAAGTAGCCTAGAATTGTCTTTTAGATACATTTAATGTACATTTCCTTATTGTTTAAGCCATCTGAGACTGATAATCTGTTACTTGTAGCTAACAGTATGTGGCAGGCAGAAGGCCCTTTTCCAAAAAATTACCCATGCTCTAATGTCTAGAAATTGTAATCATGTTAGGTTACATGGCTAAAGTGATTCTGCAGATACAATTAAGTTTGCAGATCTCAAAATGGAAAGATTATCTTGGATTATCTGGGTGAGCTTAATCTAATTAAATGAGTTTTTGAAGGAAGAGAACTTTCTCTGGCTGGAGTGAAAGACATGAGGCAGAAGGGGAAGTTGGAGCAATAAGACAAATTGACCTGATTTCTGGCTTTAAAGATTAAGGCAGCTGGCTGGGCATGGTGGCTCATGCCTGTAATCCCAGCACTTTGGGAGGCCGAGGTGGGCGGGTCACCTGAGGTCAGTAGTTCAAGACCAGCCTGGCCAACATAGTGAAACCCCATCTCTACTAAAAATATAAAAATTAGCCAGGCATGGTTGTACGCATGCCTGTAATCCCAGCTACCCAGGAGGCTGAGGCAGGAGAATCACTGGAACCCGGGAGGCAGAGGCTGCAGTGAGCCAAGATCAAGCCACTGCACTCCAGCCTCCAACCTGGATGACAGAGCGAGGCTTTCAAAAAAAAACAAAAACAAAAACAAAAACAAACAAACAAAAACGATGAAAGGAGCCATTAGCCAAGGAATGTGGGCAGCCTCTAGACATTGAGGACAAACCCCGACTAACAGTCAGCAAAAAATCAGGGACCTCAGTCCCACCCTATCACAAAGAAATTTCCCTGAGTAATTTGAATTATCTCCATTCTTTAATTCACACCCATATTTCCTCTTGCCTTTCTACTGATCTTTAATAAAATGGCAATAGAGCCTATGGAATGTCATTTTAAAAAAAGAAGAGGAAGAACAACAACAACAAAGATTGTGACCATTCCTTGAATGAATACAAAGTTCCAGTAAAGTTGAGTGTGTTTCTGACTCACTGAGTAATAATGCATTCACCCTTCCCCCAGCCCTCCACCCCCAGTGTTAAATGTTTTCAGAGTTAGGTGACTAATTCATCCTCTTCTCACAGCAGCTTCTGTAAAACCAAAATCTTGTTTGTTCCAAAAAGCCACATGAGTTTCTTAAAATGAAAGTCATAGTTGGAAGGTTATAGTTTTCTCATTTGTAAAATTATACTAAGTGACTCGGCTCTTGTAGGAGACAGAAGAGAGGAAGAGAAAGGTTTAAAAGAAGGCATTCATTCCCAGTAGCACATTCTACCATGTTGCTATTTGTATCAGTCCCCTCAAGTTTCCAAATGTTTCTGTTTTCTCACAACTAGCTACTGTTGGGTGTAAGGCCTTCGTATGAATCATGCTGTGTTCAACAAGCATATTCTTGCTTGCTATCAACCTCTCCCAACACACACACAATTAACTCCCTGCTTTGGTTCTCTCTCAGTCCAGGGAATATTTATCCAGTCAGCGAAAATCAAGGTAACTCCCCAAGAAGCATATTCCAATACCTAACAATTTACCAGCGTTTTTTGTTTGTTTGTTTTTGGGGGAAGCGGTTGCTCCCATTTATGAAATACATTACCATACGGAGGCCACTCTATTAGGTATTTTGTTAGCATTAATTCATTAAATCAAAATGGAAAGTCATTTGGAGGCTACCAACAAATGCAACAACAACAACAATAACAAATCAAGCTGTAGATGATCTGAATTTGTATGTGACAGCCATTCTGCCTCAAGAGTGGAGTGAAATCACTAGACCAGCCCTCAGTGGTTCATTCTTGGATATACATTCCCCACTGAGAATTCTACAGAAGCTACTGATACTACCCCAGGAGAAAGGCACATCGTCATAAAATTGTGTATGTAATGGCAAGAGTCTGGCAGGCTCCTTGACTCCAGGGGAATATGGACCCCCGATGAGGAGTCCTGCACTGGAGCAGTGGTCTCAAAACTCCTTTGCTAATAAATCCTTTCTGAGACAAAAACGTATTCCCAAATTTATGGATATTTACTTACAAATAATATACATGTACTGTTCTACTAATATGTATATTAAAAAACACTCAAAAATTAGAATCACAATAACATTAGATAAAAACAAATATTAAAAGGTCCCACTCCCAGTGAATGGTTTTACACATGCCCTACATCAGGGGCCCCAAGCCCTGGGCGGCAGCAGGCTCGTACTGATCTTCAGCCTGTTAGGAACAGGGCCACACAGCAGGAGGTGAGCAGGTGAGCAGGCATTCCCGCCTGAGCTCCGCCTCCTCTCAGATCAGCTGTGTCATTAGATTCTCATTGGCGCACAAACTTTACTGTGACTCGCACATGCGAGGGATCTAGATTGCACACTCCTTATGGGAATCTAATGCCTGATGATCTGAGGTGGAATAGTTTCATCTCAGAACCATCACCCCACCCCACCCTGCTCTTTGGAAAAATTGTCTTCCATGAAACCAGTCCCTGGTGCCAAAAAGGTTGGGGACTCTTGCCCCAGGGCCTATGGTCCAGTTGCATCTTGCTGCCAGACTTCTCAGAGGATCAAGTTCATGAGGCAAAAAGCTGAAAGTACTACAAAGAAAACGCTAACCGTCGGATAAAAATAATTCCTAACATTCTGTGATTAAGAAGCTTTACCTATTCTCACCTCTTTTATAAGATAAATAATCCTAGTAAAGA
This sequence comes from Homo sapiens, assembly GCF_000001405.40. Classification (NCBI taxonomy): domain Eukaryota; kingdom Metazoa; phylum Chordata; class Mammalia; order Primates; family Hominidae; genus Homo; species Homo sapiens. Next base: position 54,150,859 of record NC_000018.10, read on the forward strand.
TTTCTCAGCAGGGAGGTTTACTGGAAAAGCTTTGACTAGTCACCCACAAAAGGACCAGATCTCCTAGGAAGAATCGCTCTGCTTTCAGGCCACAGTCATACTGTACTTGTTAAACCAAACTGTGTTGCTTTTTGTCAGCTTAAGACCCGAGTGGAGAATAGCATTGGAAGGTTGTGTGGCGTTCTCGAGACAGAAAACCTTTACATTCAAATTTCCCTCTCTGAATCTTATTGGCTAGGATAAGTCATTTAACTTATCTGGGTCTTAGATTCCTTAACTCATAAATGAGGAGAAGAAGAATATGTACATATTACATGGCTTACATGTAGATTAAAATTCAAAGATAACATTAATGGAGGTGAAAGTGTTCCATAAATTATTAAATGCTATATAAATGTGAGGAAATAAAACACTTTTTGTTTTCCCATCATTAAAAGTCAAATAATTGATAAAAGTAACTATTTTCACATAAAATTTGCATGTGCCCTTATAGAGAAAACCAGCATGCAAATTAAAATTTTAAAGCCTACTCCAGATCCTTCGAGTCATGCATTTTGACAGCCTGCTGCTCCAAGTCCAAATCCCACAGCTACTGCTAGCTAATTGGGTTGTAACTGACTGGTGTTCCCTGCCCTACCTGTGAACTTTGGGACCCCACCCCCCAGTCTGATGTCCCCTGTGCCCGAGAAACATGATCCAGAGATGTCCTTCATGGATTAAGTCATTGAAGATGACTTACACAAACAGTTTTAAAGCTTCAAAATTTATTGCTGTACATTTTCTCATAGCATTTACTATGGAAATACTAATAGTGCAAATATTTATTTTGGACTTCATAGCATTTGAGAAATCACAAAGCTTGTTTATATCTTTGCAATTATTTATGAAGATCTATATTATTTTAAAAATCCAAACGAGTAATCTTATATTCAAAGAGATTGTATAACACTCTCTAGATCTCCTCTTTAGACCAAAAAAAAAAAAAAAAACACCCTGGAAGCCACCAAGGGCATTTCTTTCCTTTATAATACATACAGCTTCTAACACTTTTCCAACTGCATGACTCTTGTTCATTCACAGATTCATTCAACAAATATTTAATGACAAGCTATTACGTGCCAGGCACTGGGCTAGGCTCGGGGAACATGAGGATGAAAAAGCACAATCTCTGCTTTTACGGTGCTTACAGTCTAATAGTAGAAACAGACATGCAAAAAAAAATTACAATACAATACAATAAAGTGCTTCCATGGAGGTATTTACAAAGTGCGGTGGGAACAGGGAAGGCGGGAAAGAACATCTGCCTGAAGAAATCAGGGACAGCTTCACAGAGGAGGTAGCCATTGAGCTGAGACTTCATCAATGATTAGGAATTCACCATGTAGACGGGCAGGCAAAGGGTGTTTCAGGCAAAGGGAACAACAGGTACAAAGACACAGAGGCCCAAGGGGCACTTCAAAGAAGCAAGTAAAGAGGTTTTTCTTGAGCTGAAGGTGCAGTGAGGAATAGTGGCAGCATGAGGCCAGACAGACAAGCAGGGATCAGATCAAGAAGAGCCTTTTGACCATTCTTCCATTTATTCAGCAAACAGTTACTGAGTGCTTACTAGGTGCCAGTCACTCAGCTAAGTGCTGGGGCTGTAACGGGAAATCAGACAAACACATCCTTGCTCTCATGGAGCTTACATTCTAGTAGAGAAATAGACAAAAAGCCAACAAATAAATAAAATACAGACTTAGAAAATGTCTACAAAAGAAATAGGGTGCTGAGGCAGAAAATAGTGTCACAGGGATAGGCGGTAGTTAGGGTTATTAGCAAATGCCTCTTGGAAAGGATGTAAAACTCACACCTGCAGGGATAGCGACAATAGTGTGCTCCAATGTGAGCACCCACTATGTGCCAGGCACTGTGCTACACACTTTAGAAACAGTCTATCTCACTGAATCCTCACAACAACTCTATGAGGTAGGTATTATTATTCCTATTTCACTGAGGAGGGACAGGCTCAAAGAGATTAAATAACCTGACAAGTCACACAAATGGCAAAAATCAGGATTCAGACACAGGTTCTCCTAATTTCAAAGTGTGTGCTCTTAAAAATCACTCTAAACTGCATACAAAGATAAGTGAGGGAAATAATACAGTCACATTTGCCTGTTTTGATGATCTTTCTGATGACTATGTGGAGGGATGGAGAGAGGGAAGGGGAAGAAAGTGGACAGGTGAGCAAAAAAGGAAGCCACTGAAAGTCCAGAGGACAGGAAAGGCAGTTCATATGAAGGCAGTGATCGTGGGGATGGAGGAGAGGTGGGGTGCAGTCAGTAGTTCTAATAGGATTGATGAGAAGTCAGAAGCAAGGGAAAGGGCAGCATTGTGCTCACTCCTGGGCTTCTGCCTTGCGTAACTGGAGAAGATGGCTTGCTTTTACCAGAGTGAGGGAATGGAAGAGGGTGGTAGGTTTGTGGGGACCAGGTGATGAAGTTTTGAACATGTTGTCTTGTGGGTATATTGGGAACACCCTGGACTTATGGGATGGTCCCCAAGGGACACCATATAATGGCTTTCATACCTTGTTCTCCACCTGAGCAAAGTATATAAGCAAAAAAAAAAAAATCAGTTTTATATGTGTATACATTGTGTTTTTGCTTTTACAAGCTGTTTAGAAAAGCACATATATCTTGGCTGGATTGGTTTGTAAAAAGAATATATGATCACCAAGGTGAAGTTACCCCAACCCTGATCACAAATGAAGAATCGTGGACTCGGGGGAGGAAGAGAAAAGCCCTTGGACATCCATTCTCACTAGTCATACTAGCTTTTAAAAAGAAATCACTATGATCCTCACCCCCACCCCAGTTGGGACAGTCTGATGGGGCGGGCAGGCACCCTCTACCAATTGGCTTCCCAGGGTCTACAAGTTTCCCTGCTCATCCACCAGCAGGACTGCTTCAAGGAAACTAATGGCCCTAGGGTCCAGGGATCAAAGTTGAGCGTAAATCAGGAATTCCAAGAAGTATTTATGTAGTTTGGCATAAAAGTCCAGGAAAAACAGCAGCCCAAACAGCAGCCCAAACCTAGCTAGTCATATTGCTTTGACTATTCCCCTCTTCTTCCCTGCCTTGGAAACTGGAGGTAGTGGTAATAAAATGTACAGGTGACACTCATGTGGAATTGGTCATACCCCTGACTGCATCATTTAGGTTCTAATTTTAAAAGAACTCAAGAGTTAAGAAATAAACACACCTTTTCTATAGAATGATTTTACTTTTGCTCTGTCTCTCAAAATTTGTTTTCATTTGCTTATAACCACTCCCTCCCTTCCTTGGTATCAGATTAAGTATGTTTTGATTTTAGAAATCGTTTAATAATGTAATGCTAGTTTTCATAATTAAATATCAATAAATTCAAGTGGTATGAAAGTTACACTCGCGAGTTTCAACAGAAAAAGAATGTTAATATTTTGGAGGCCAGGCCAGGTACAGGTAATGGTTTGTAAAGTATTACAAACCCTTTCATTAAGCAACTCTGTCTAGAAGCTGCCTCTCACTGTAGCCAAGAGTCTGACCTGCACCTGATAACTCAGTAAGCTAGTGGACGTTAGAGAGTGCCAAACATTCTTTAAAAAACAATAAACATGGACGCCTTCTAGTAACACCTGAAGGGTCCTTGTGTATCTGACTCATGCCCAAGGGAAGAAAAAGCCTTATTCTTATAGAACTATCAAAAGTCCAAGTCACAGGCAAGGAAAAAAAATTACACATGCTAGGTGATATTTAGCAGAAATTCTTAGAAATTCTGGTGAAAGCACAATTCTCACAACGTCCAGAGGCAATAGTTCATACTGCAAATATATGCGCTATCTTCCTCCACCTCCATGTCAAACCTAAGGCCCAGGGATCAGAGTTGAATGTAAATCAGAGGAAGGCTAACGAGGGGTTCTTTATTGTGTGTGCTTTTCAACAGAAAGAATTCCAATCAGTCTGTGAATATAATCATTTATTTGTCTTTACAGTGATGATGGAAGAATGTACAGGTGTCCCCTTTCAATAAAGTATAAAAATATGTTTATATACAGTGAAGTCACAATAATCTTTAACTGGGAAATTTATTTAGAATTCCTGATCTGTTCTTATTAAAACTGTGGGGGAAACAAATGTTTTACGTAAGTGCTACATTTCCAGTAGATTGCACCTGGCATCAAAAGCTCAGCTTCATCTTAGGGTCCTGCTTGATATTACAAAAGACTAATTTTAAGTCCTAGGACTCAAAATAAACATGATTTTTTGAATAATAGATATATACATCAAAAATACATCTAAAAAGGCATTGGTTAGTGCTATTAAAAAGCTCTATGTGCTCGGGTACATTTTTTTTCTTACAGGCAAAAGCCAGTGGAAACATTTTTGTTCAATTTCTAGGAATTTTCTCTTGGGGAAAGTCGGTCGAAAGTTACCTGTTAAAAAAAAAAAAAAAAGAACAAACTTAAGTAATCCAGTGATTTATCAGGTGAGAGGTCAGCAATACTCAAAAAAGAATTAGAGATTGAATTCCACTTAAGAACCATGCTTTTACAGCCTTGATGAACATGTAGTTACAGCACTTCATAAATAAAAAGTGCTCAACATATCCCCTCATTGTTTCGTTTTATTTTGATGATAACCTTTACTATCCTGTTAATTTTCCAAAGAAATCATATGTATTCTTCTATGTTTATGCAAATATTTTCTAACTACAATTAACTACATCAGCATAAAAAGAGAATTCAAAGGGCATACAAATGAAAAAGCAGAACAGATACAGACCAATCCAAATATATTTTGAGAAAATGTAGAAAAATTTCTACTCAAGATACTTTATTTTACTTCACAATTTCTTTCACATGAGAGCATTTACAGATGACACGTATGCATCGAGTCTTCCTATTGTTTAACCTGGGTGAAATGGCACTGTGCAACTGCAAATTGAACTATTTATGTATTTGATATCCTATCTCATGTATAGCTAAATATATTCACACCTTTGTTTTTACAGTCATCATCTTCTTCTTCTTCTTAAATTTTACTTAAGTAAAATTTAAGTAACACAGTAAATTGCGGCCTGTTATTTAACTAACCAAATAAATAAATGAATAAACATCCACCTTACTAATAAGCAGGATTAGAAAGAGCTGAGGCATGATGAGGCTGGCCGACCTGAAGGGACCTTGGTTATCTCTTATGAGCCCGTGAAGATGGCCACATCTCACCCTTTGCCCAACTAAGTCCTACCTATACCACAGGTTATTACGGACAGCTGATTGAGTCATGTGGTCATGCTTTAGTTTATTAAAACTTTTAGGTATATATGGGGTTATTTGAGTAAGGTAAATGTAATTTTCATAATTAAGAAGTACATCTAAATCTTCCGCAATCTATAAGTCTAATGGCTTGATCTAATAATGCCATTCTCAAGTTGGGAAGATAACATAAATAATTTGAATCTCTCCCTACCTAACATGCCAAAATAATGGCTACTTTTAAAGAACTGATTAAAATTCTAATCATTCAACATTAGTTTGTTATTACTATTATCCACATTTGTGCAAGGCAATGAGAAGTTGCCAACTTCTGTGTAAGTATAGTGCCAGTGCCTACAACACAGCCTCGCTCACATAAACAAGGGTATAGCCTGGATGTCAATCTGCAAAGTAATCTGTAAAGGAAGCAAAAGTCGGCCAGTGGCTCATGCTGTAATCCCAGCACTTTGGGAGGCTGAGACGGGTGGATCACCTGAGGTCAGGAGTTCAAGAGTTCAAGACCAACCTGCCCAACATGGCGAAAACCGTCTCTAGAAAAAATACAAAAAATTAACTGGGCATGGTGTCAGGCACCTGTAATTCCAGCTACTTGGGAGACTGAGGCAGGAGAATCGCTTGAACCCGGGAGGCAGAGGTTGCAGTGAGCTGAGATTGCACCCCTGTACTCCAGCCTGGATGACAAGAGCGAAACTCCATCTCAAAAATAATAATAAAAAAAAAGGAAACAGAAGTCTAGTAAAACCTCAATTAGGTGACCCTTGATTATCTGAAATGATTTCATGAGAAAAGTCTAGAAAAAAACCAAAAAGCCCTGACAGAAGAGAAGGGCTTTCTGAGAGTCCATTCCGAAGCAACAGTGCAGAATCTGGATCAGGTGAGATCCAGATCCCTCTGTGCTCCAGAGACGGTGTGGCTGCAGCCGTGGACAGTAGAAACACACTTCAGACTTCCCTCTGAAAGACTTCCAGCATATTAAGTATACTCATCAAAGCCCATAAATACATCCTTGCCAGCTTGGAAAACAAAATCCAAGTATCAACACAGCATCTTCATGTCTTCAATAAGGGAAGAGAAAAGAGCTAAAACAGCACTGAACTGGATTGAAATGATTTTTTTTTTTTTTTGAGACAGAGTCTCACTCTATCACCCAGGCTGTAGTGCAGTGGCGCGATCTCGGCTCACTGCAACCTCCGCCTCCCAGGTTCAAGCGATTCTCCTGCCTCAGCCTCTCAAGTAGTTGGGATTACAGGTGCCCGCCACCATGCCCAGCTAATTTTTGTATTTTTAGTAGAGACAGGGTTTCGTCATGTTGGCCAGGCTGGTCTCAAACTCCTGACCTCAGGACATCCATCCACCTCAGCCTCCCAAAGTGCTGGGATTATAGGCGTGAGCCACCACACCCAGCCTGAAATGATTCTGTATGGTCAGGAAACTGTGACCCAGAAGTGAGTGCTGCCATGGATGGACATGTAAATGTAAGACATTATATGTATTATTGGATTTTGGTCTTGCTGTGGCATGAAAGATAAAGGCACTATGGAAGGGGATAATTGTGTTAACAATTCAACTCACCCTCCCTGCAATCCCTACCCTTAGCCTGTTCCCCTACCAAACAGAGTTCCCTCCCACCCAGCTCAAGTGATGGCTCAAGTGAAAACCCTGAGGCATCCTCGCCACTCTCTCACCCGCACTTCCAGGCAGTCACCTGGTCACGTGATTCTTTCTCCAGCTATATCTCAGATCTACCCATCTCTTCTTCTCCCAACCTATTGGCATGTCAACATCCTCCTAAAGCCACCATCATCTCTTGCGAGACTACCGCAGCAACATCCCAACTGGTCTCCTTGCTTCCAAGCTTTCCCTACTCCAATCCTTGTATTCATGCAGCAGCCATAGGGCTCTTGTAAAGAAGCAAATCTGATCATGCTACTGACTCTTCAGTGATTCCTGCTAATTTTCATGATCAATCTCAAGTGGTCATCAATCTCCCTAACAACCCACAGGTCCTACGTGACTAGGTTCACCACCCACACATTCCCCCCACCCCTCCCCAGACATACTGCATTCCAACCACGTGGATAATTTCTTCATTCCTTAAAGAAACCAAGTTTCTCCTTGCTGTTCCTTCTAATGGGAACACTTTTACCCAAACCTCTCCTGGCTCACTCCTATATATCTTTCAGGCTCAACATAAATGTCACTTTCTCAGAGAGGCTCTGTTGACCCTTGACATCATATTAGCACCCCATCCCTCCCTCTGTTTTGGCTTCAAAGGAAACTAGTAAATAATTGGTTTTGGGGTGCCAAAAAGGAAGACATGGCCTGCTGAAACAAAGCAGGATGGAAGCCGGGAAGCAAGACGTCACAGAAAGCCTTAAGATCTGCACGTGCTCCTCTGAAGACAAGGTATGCCCATGGCACAGAGCCATGAGCCTGGAATGTGAGTTTGAGATAAGATCAAAATGTGCATTTTTGTTGCTGTTTTTTGAGTCAGAGTCTTACTCCATCCCAGGCTGGAGTGTAGTGGCACAATCTCGGCTCACTGCAACCTCTGCCTCCCGGGTTCAAGCAATTCTCATGTCTCAGCCTCCCGAGTAGCTAGAATTACAAAATTCCAGCTATTCTACCACGCCCAGCTAATTTTTATATTTTTAGTAGAGACAAGGTTTCACCATGTTGGCCAAGCTAGTCTCAAACTCCTGACCTCAAGTGATCCGCCTGCCTTGGCATGCCAAAGCGCTGAGATTACAGGCATGAGCCACCAAACCCAGCCTAAAAATGTGTATTTTTTAAGGTAAAGTATTTATTATACTTTTTAGTGTCCTTCTTGTTCTCCCTGCATCAAATCTGTGCTAGGGAGAATCTAAGAAAAAGAAAGAGATTTTGCCTGCTTTGCCACCATAATTTTAAAGAGGAAGCAATATGCCCTGGATGCTACTGTGATGGAGATGACAGTCACCTTCTTCTTCTGGGGCCGTTCCTCCCTACATGACAAAGTCCTTTTCTTCTGCTGCTGCTCTTCTCTAGTGACACCTTAGAGGCTTTCCACCTGGTCTTAATGAAGGAGACTAGATCCCTTGCAAGTGACTGCAGGGGTGTGAATGTCCTCCCAGTATGAGAACAAAAGAATGCAATAACTTATATGGTCCTTCAATCCAGAGAGAAGAAACAAACAACAGCACATGCAGAACCCGAGCAGAGGAGTAGCTTTTTCATTCACTGCTGAGGAAGCTACAGGGAAAATAACAAGAAAATACAGCGACACCTTTTTTTTTTTTTCTGAGATGGGGTTTCACTCTGTCACCCAGGTTGGAGAACAGTAGCACAATTTTGGCTCACTGAAATTTCTGCCTCCCAGGCTCGAGTGATCCTCCCACCTCAGCCTCCTGAGTAGCTGGAACCACACACACACAACACCACACCCAGTTAATTTTTTGTATTTTGGGTAGAGATGGGGTTTTGCCATGTTGCTCAAGCTGGTCTCGAACTACTGAGCTCAACTGATCGCCCGCCTCAGCCACCCAAGTGCTGGGATTACAGGCAGAAGCACTATGTCCGGCCAAGAAAACACACCTTAAGTTCCAAGTCACTCTCTCTGGTGTCAGTTTACCTGATCATATTCTTAGGCTTCATCTCCACTGTCCATTTCAATATCCATCTCTTCTGTATCAGCAGCTCGCGACAAGATGTCTGCCATCAGTGCTTCTTCCAATTTCTTGCGTACTTGCTGTACTCGCTCTTCCTGTTTCCTTTTTAAAAACAGAATAAAAAGGCACTGAGAATTTGGCAAGTAATGACAATATGAATCTGCTACAGAAGTTCATCCTTACTTCAAAATAATTAAATTCCTAAGAAGAATAGACTTCCTTTTCAGATTTTTGCAGAGGTTGCTTCTACACACAAATCAAACCTCACCAATGAGCCTTGCCAAAAAGAGGAATGTTCACAGAGGCAGTTATCCCTCATCACACATGAAATTCTAGAAAGAGCAGATTGACGTCAGTGACCTTTTCTTCAACTTTGAAAATGTCAACTGTGTCAAGATTTGGGTTTATTCCTATAAGGACAATTAGAAATAACTTAGAAGCAGGAATAAAAGATGGAGGGAACATAAATAACAAAGGAAAAGTGACTTGTTCATAGAAGCACTGAGAAAGATGGAGGAAGCAGAGGCGTGATAAGCTGGGGTTTGATTGACATTCTGCGGCTAGGTTAGTTAGGAGAGAGCTCTCTCCTGGATTCTGAGGTCTGCAGGCAACAGGTCAGCATGAAGGAGCCAAGACTACATGATCCTGCACACCGAGGACAGACACTGAAAAGCCTCTCTTCAAATAAGAAAGTGAGTTACTTAAGAACATGCCATGAGTTTCTCTGTGTCTCGGTGATTACAAAGGAACCTCAAAAGTGAGGGTTAATAACTCCAAGTCATTAAAAAGGCTCTGAACCATTAGAGCACAGGAAGAAAGGCTATCAGTATACACTTACCTTTAAAAAGTAAAAAAAAAAAAAAAAGAAAAGAAAGTAGATCCCCCAGATGGTAAGAGATAAATTCCTAATACGTGTCTAGCAAACAAAGCTCGGTAAATAGAAATTGACATCCAGAACCAAGTAGAGAAGCAAAGGTTGAAGAAAGACAAGAGAAGAGAGAAGACTGGTAGGAAAAGATTCCAGTGGGAACAAGAACAGAAGGCAATGGCAGAGGAGGGAGGGTCAGCAGAACAGAAAAGGGGGCAAAGCTCTTGAGACCAGAAGAAAGGAGATAAGGAAAGATGCAGACAGGGAGATGAAGATGCAACAAGGAATATACAAAGGGTTCTACTGAAAAAAAAAAAGTAATTTTCTCTACCAATAACCGAGGAAGACAGATTGCAGCAATTCCCAAAACTGGGACAGCAGAGAGGTAGAGGAGCAATGCTATAGAAGATTGCCCTAAGGGTCCCTGAGTATTCACTCCATAGGGGCTCAACCAGCTGCCAAGTTATATTCAGTCTACTCAAGATCACACCCCTTTGACCAAATAAGACTATGTCCAAGGTAGTCAAGGTAACATATATGTACTGCTTCCCACAAAAACTTTGGATATCTTTATTAAACTCCAAAACACCACAAAGAGTTAAAAGGTATAGACTTCCACTTATTAAATGAATTTTCAAAAAGAGGGAAGCTGTCACTGGGTCAGTCTTAGCTCTATAGCCTCTGTCATATTAAAAGAAACTGGAATTTGACAGATTTTCATGTCATGGGGCAGGGTCAAGCAGAACACATTTGTTTATTTCTTATACAGTTAGTCTCACCTCTGGGTCAGTGACTCAAAGTTTATGACAAATGACATATTGGTTTCACTGGCAGTCTCTCACTAATAAGAGTACAAGAATCTTCACAGCTGTCCTAGAGTAACCTCATTAGGAAGAAGGAGAAAATGGAGCAAATGGCACCATATGCAGTAATTTGGATGGAGAATTTTATCTTAAACTCTAACATTTGCCATTGATTTTCTTCTCTCTTGAGCATTACTTTCCACATTTGTGAGAGCTGAAATTTAATCATTTGCCCATTGCTGTAGGCAGAATTGTAAGATGGTCCCCAACAGTCCCTCTTCCCCAAAACCACCCTTACGTGCACTCTTTATATAATTCTCTCCTCTTAAGGGTGAGCAGAACTTGTGAATATGATGGGATATCTCTCCATGATTAGGTTACCAATCAACTGATTTTGAGTCAATCGAGAGAGATTATTGTAGTGGGCCTGACCTAATAGGACCCCTTAGTGGAGCTGGGATCTTCCTGACAGAAGCATAAAGGGGCACACGGAGGAGCCACGAGACAAGGAACTACAGGCAGCTTCCAGGAGCTAAGACAGCCACCATCCCATAGCCAAGAAGAGAACAGGGGCCTTAGCCCTAAAACACAAGGCATGAATTCTGCAACCACCATATGAGCTTGAAAGAGAACCCCAAGCTTCAGAAGGGAACACAGTCCGGTGACACTTTTAAGACCCAAACACAGAAGCCAGTCATACCAGGCCCAGACTTCTGACCCCACAGAACTTTAAGCTAATAAATGGGTATTGTTTTAAGCTGCAAAGTTTGTGAGAATTTGTTACAAAGTATTAAAAAACGAAAGTACTCATCAATGCAAACATTATAAAATACGCTAAAAATACTTGAGATATATCTTGTTGGGGTCTTCAGCTGGAGGTTTAATGTAGACAGACTATTGGATACCCAATTAGGTAAAGAGTAACAGTTCCATTTGCAGTAATTTATTTTGAACATGTACTAATTCAACAAGGAGTATTTTCTTCCTAATTTCCGTCATGACAATTAAATCAAATGAGCAATTTGTTAGACAAATTTACCCAAAAAGGAAATCATCCAGAATTGGCTTTGAGATAGTTTCCTCAACTATCAAAAGAACTGGTGTTGAAGCCACCAACATTCCTGTGATATAACTCAGAGAACCTCCGTCAACACATATAAGGACCTGGCAGAATCCCTGCTGATTAATTCAGCATTCATCCCAAGATGGAAAAGAACTTGTCTCTGGAGTAATTTTCTTCCTCAAGGGTAAGAACAATCCAATGAGCAAGTTGATTCCTTTCATTGATTTTACATTTTGTTTTCTTAAAAAATAAAGTTTTTAAGAAACTTCATTCATATTCATATGCAATCAAGGCATATGAATACAACTTTGCACCACTTTTTATCTTTGCAAAATAATTACTTTAAGACCCAAGAAGGGCTTTCCCATTATAAACCTAGCTAGACTTACCCATTTAAAAAAACTTTCATGTCAACTTTGTATGGATTTTTTTAAAAAATACAAATATAGGCTGGGCGTGGTGGCTCACACCTGTAACACCTGTATCCCAGCACTTTGGAAGGCTGAGGCAGGCGGATCATGATGTCAGGAGTTCAAGACCAGCCTGGCCAATATGGTGAAACCCTGTCTCTACTAAAAATAAAAAAATTAGCTGGGTATAGTGGCGCTCGCCTGTAGTCCCAGCTACTCGGGCGGCTGAGGCAGGAGAATTGCTTGAACCCGGGAGGCAGAGGTTGCAGTGAGCTGAGTTTGTGCCACTCCACTCCAGCCTGGGCAACAGAGCAAAACTCTGTCTCAAAAAACAAACAAACAAAAGAACAAATATAAAACATCTTAAAATTATATGATTCGAAAGTGTCATCTGCTGATTTTGTCTAGGAATAATACTCAAATTAAACTGATTTACATTCAGGGGACAGAAATAGTGAAGTATACACAAGGTCATATTTTTAATATACTATAATATAATATAAATGCAATATAGTACAGTATCACTATAAAATAATGATATTGAGGTCATAAAACCCACATAAGAATTGCTCTGTGATCTTACTAACTGGAGTACTTTTGCTTTTCCTGTGCAATGGTTTGCTTCTACTTTCTGGGTTCTACCAATCTGAGCTGGATGTTTTCCTTTTACCATTTGCTGCTGAAACCCTAACTTGTGAGTCAGCCTTAGAAAGAGTGAAAGATGTCAGTAGACATAGTTTGTGTCTTGTCTCATTCCTGGCTCTGTTTTATTGCTTTACCTGTGGCTTCTTCTTTCTTACTTGCTTCTCTTCTTGCTCTACCGTGTCACAAGTAAGTTTAAGAGCAGCATCACTATCATCTGATTTAAAGAGAGATTGGTTTCCAGACAAACCAGTGAAGGAGGCAATCAGAAAAGGCATAACTGAGTGAAAGGGGTTCTGTATTTTTATTTTTCTAAGACAGGATCTAGCTCTGTCACCACGGCTGGAGTGCAGGGATGTGACGACAGCTCACTGGAGCCTCGACCTCCCATGCTCAAGCAGTCCTCCCACCTCAATCTCCCAAGTAGCTGGGACTACAGTTACATACTACCATGCCTCACTAATTGTTAAAAATTTTTTGTGGAGATGGGGTCTCACTGTGTTGCCCAGGCTGGTCTCAAACTCCTGGGCTCAAGCAATCCTCCCACCTCGGCCTCCCAAAGTGCTGGGATTATAGGCATGAGCCACTGTGTCTGGCAGAAAGAGGTTCTTTAGAATAGAAAGTCAGAATCCCAAATTGCAAAAGACACTGTAAAAATGATGCTTAGGGAATATAACTGATCTGGTGTCTGTCCTTTGGACAGGACCATGACGATACCCCTGGCATGCAGCATTTATACCCGTTTCAAGCATGTATTTGTTATAATGGTCTTTTTTCACCTTCTATCAGTTTCTGAAAAACTCTGTTAAAAAAGAAAAGTATAACTTTCTAGGTGATATATCACTTACTAGATATGCCACTGAACCTAATGAACAGTAAAAAATTTACCCAAACGTAAAAACCCAAGTTTATGAAGTCATGTTAAACTGCATTACCTGATGTCTTCATCTGTGACAATAAAAGCTTTGCAGAGGGGTTGAGATGTGTTAAGCCAAACAGCAGGGTTCTTTTCCACAGCAGCGGAGACTTGCCCTGTGATTGGCGCAGAGCTTGTGTGCAAAGCACTGGCAACAGCAGATAAAAGGGTCTCATCATTGCTACCTGGACCAACTCCTGCAATGAGAAACAAGTACTAGTTAAAGGAAATGTCTCAATGTGCTGAGCAAACTTTATGTGACATAAAACAACTGATATTTTTATATTCATTTGGGATCATATATGTAAAACTGACATAAGACAAAGCAGCAAAAGATAATATATCTACTTAATAGATATGACACACTAAAGAATTCACACTAAAGAAATAGTAACAAAATAGCTGAGCATTTTTTCTTACTTTAAAAAACAAATCCTCATGCTTGCTGTAAGCTTATAGCTGAGCATTTTAATAATACTTTACCAGAACTTTAAAATGCATTTTCCAAGGTACTAAACTTTTAAAAAGTTGGCTATATTTCCTCAAGCAATGTTAATTATTTTAATGAGGTAAGACTTTGTGAAGCGACTATACTCAAGTATCCCTTTTAATGTATTCCTAGAGTACTGGTATAGTCTCTCCTTGTAGCTTTTAACATTAATTTCCAGCAATATCTCAACAATTATCTTCTTTGTCTCAGGATTCAAAGAAAAAGCCAATGCAAGCAAGCTGTATCTGTGGCTTTAACAGCTTTTTTCATAAACCTAACAAAATATCCAAAATCAGAGAATTAATAACTGCACACTTTGATTACTTGTAAGATACTGGTACCATGGTCACATTTAAATGCAATGCTTAAAGTCCTAAACCTGTTTAACTAGTTAAGGCCAACATTTCCAAGAACATAAAGGGATAAGGCAATAATCTAACCATGAATTATGAGGATTTTTGAGCAATCCACAATATATCAAGCTTTAGAAGCCAAAGTTTTAATACTTGAAAAATAACTCTTCTCTAGAACTTGGAGTTCTCATACAGCATGAAATGTAGACTAGTGACTGAGTTTTCCACCCCAGATCCCACTGGCTGCTGTTGCTGGACCAAAGTGCATCTGTTCCCACTTCTACTTAGAGCACCAGTTTGTGGAGGGAGGGGCAGAAGGAGAGCTGTTGGTTGTTCTTTTGGGAAGAGGATGAGAGAAAGAGCAGGTGGTAGGGCCAGATGTTGCTATAAGCAGGAAGCTTTGAGAAATTCTGTTACTCATCCGCATCCAGTGCTAAAAGCAGCACATGGGTTAGCTTCTATGATGAACCTAACCTAAAGCCAAAATTTTTACAAAGAAAAAAATCTAAGATAATATACTACACTGCAGCATCCCTGCAACATACAAGTTTCTCATGTACCTTCTTCCTGGCTTTACTAAAACACAAGAGGTACGTCATCCAGCAAGGCATATGACCTCCCAAAGCAAAGGCCTCCTGTCAGTCATTGCTGAATCCACAGCATCTAACAGAGTGCCTGGCATGCAGTAGGTACTTGATAAATGTCTGCTCAACTGAACTTAGATAATACCTTGAAGACCTTTGGGTAGTTCCATGGTTTTTATAATTTGTTCTGTTACATCTGATGCACTAAGTCCTTGTAGCCTCTTCTCCCAGAAAAGCTGTAAGGCAAAATATCACTGTTAATAGATACATTTTTGAAACAAGAAAGTAGCGCATCGATGCTGTTGAATAATGAAATTTAAATCATTTCAATAGTTTCCTATAATTTCCTCATTTTTTCCTTATAAAAAGCTAAATGATATTCCAAACATGAATTATTTCCACACATCATAATCCTCTCAGATGGCATTGCTCAAAAAAGGTTGTTTTACATAACCTATTCACTTGTTACAATACTATAGATGGTTATATGCTGTATACTATGTATAGTTTCTTATAAGGTATCTTCCAAAGAAAATAATTTGAATTTTTTAAAGATTCACCTGGCATGAAATTTTAATGCTACGACTTATTAAGGAAAAGAAAACAAATTACGTGATGTGTTATCCCCCTTTATCCAATATCATTAGAGAAAGAGCTACTCCAATATGGGATTTTTCCAGTACAATGAAGTTTAGCCCTTTAGCACACTTTAAGGGAGAAAAGACCATTTTCAATGAAAAGTTTTCTAAAATGTTTTAGATGCCTCCTTTATTTTTAAACTGGATGTCACATTCATGAGTGACTCTTTCCCTGCTGCACAGGGCCTGGGTCACCATGGTCACTTAGTAGCCCCAGGTCATCATTACGGGCATCAGTGAGTACACTGAGTGGCTCCTCGTGCCCTAGGGGCTATGGAGCCTTTTGCTTATTCAAACACTAAATGGTCCAAGGCAATTATAGTTTTTATTTTATATCCTTTTCATATTTGATTCTCTCTCCTAGTTATTACTTTTCACTAATATCACTCATCCATTCAACATATCTTTATTGAGCTCCTACTAGGTGCTGTGCTCACCCTGCAGATGTGACAGTCAGTAAGAGAGACAATGTCACTGTCCTCATGCCTCATCTCTTTTCTAGTCTGTTTCACATTTACTGCAGCCAAAAAAAAACAGATAAAGGAATTCTATAGGACTCTGTATAACTGTCTTTAATCCTGGATACCAGGGCCTGTCACATAGTTGGTACTGAAAAAATATTTGTGGGAATGACTGAAAATGGGAGCAACTGGACTCAGCGTGAGGATCTGGGGGACACACAAACCCATACTGAAATCTCAGCTGCAACACTATCTCCAGATAGACAACCTTGGACAAGGTCTAAACCCATGCTGAAATCTCAGCTGCAACACTCTCCATCTCTAGATAGACGACCTTGGACAAGGTCTATAACCTCTTCAGAATCTTCAATTTATTTTCTCTTCTATAAATATGGCAACAATGGCTATCACAAAAGATTACTGTGGGAGTTAAATAAGGCAATATGTATAAAGTATCCATTATATACTGGGCACAAGATTTATCGCATTTGCTTTTAGCAAACTGTGGCCACTCTGAGGGCTTTTGGGGCTTACATTCCGACTTCTGGATATATGTGAAGTATCAGATAATTGTCCTCCAGACAAATGAGAAGATAAAGTAGTGTAATTCTATTTATGTCAGAAGAGCAATATGCTGAATTTGTAATAAGCACAACGCTAGCACCAAGGAAGGCCTTTGGTATATGGTAACATTTCCTTACATCTCCCTGCTAATCACATTATCAGTAGAATATGTTGTCAATATAAGCAGGTCAACAATATGAGGATATAAATATATTAATCATCATGGATGAAAAGTAGTAAGGTGGAGGTAATAATTGATGAATGCAATAAATGTCCCAAGAAAACCTGCCCTGCCTGCTTTCTATTTGCTCTCTGGTGGAATAACATCATCTGTGTTTTGAATATCACAGCTATAGAAAAAAAAAAAAAAGGAAAACAAAACCCAGTTAAATTTCTAATGACAAAGCATCTAGGAGAATTAGTGAGGATAAGATTAGTAAGTGCTTTTATAATTAAATATAATTAAACTTTATATATATGTGTATATATATATACAATTATAAAAGCACTTATTAATCTCATAGTCACTGATTTGTAAAAATAAATCAACACTACCACATAAAAGCATGGGAATTATGAACAGATACATTGTTTATATTTTACATCTAAAAGTTCCAATTCCAGATATTAAAAAATAATTTGTTTTATTCTATCATTTTTAATTCTCAACTTTCAAACTTCTATCAGTAACAAGGAAAACAATACAAAAAATTTATAAAGAAAAAATTAGTAAAAATAAATCCTGGACTGAAATACAAGTATATGGCTCTAGCTTATATCACATCCTGGTACCACCACATGTCATCTGATACCCCGCAACTACAGCTGAAGTTAGAATCTGATATGTGTGGATGCCCTCTTTATAAGAGAGGACATAAGAAACTAAGATTTTGCGTATGCTCTTTCAATAGTAAAAGCACCATTTCCAGAGTCCAGGAGCAAAAATAATAAAATTGTTATGCCATGAAAATGGAGATACATATATATATATATATATATATATATTTATGTATGCATATTTGTGTGTGTGTGTGTGTGTGTGTGTGTGTGTGTGTGTGTGTGTGTGTGTATCTTCTCCCATCCGCAACCCAGGGGAGAAATGGGGAGTGAAAAAGGTCAGAGAAGGAAAGGAAGCTAGTTTAAAAAAAGAAAACACTTAACTGGTCAAGGTCACTTCCTCTCCAACCTTTCCAACACTCACTCAAAGCTAAGAAGCTCACCTAATTTCACTGAAAACTGAAACAGTCCTCAGGCGGTAAATGTCTGTTTACATCTCAGTATGTTCCTAACTCACCTTTTCTGTACATCCATCTTCTCAGATCCCTGTTTTATTTGTTTGGGCGGGGGACGAGGGCAAGGATTCTTTGCATTTTAAAATGCATTTTAAAGGTATATACAGTAGGCATTATGCTAAGTGAAAGAAGCCAGTCTTTCCCACTCTGTGTGATTCCACTCCTATGATACCCAGAAAAGGAAAACCTATAGGGAAGGTTGCCCCAGATTGGGATGGAGGGGAGTCTGACAACAAAGGCTCAGCACAAGCAACTTCTTTGGGGTGCTAGGACTGTACTTTCTGGTTTTTAATACACTGAGACTTTATCCAGCTTATATAATGACCATGTTCTTTTCTTTCCAAGCCTGTTCCTCAAGGAATGGCCCAATGTGCACTATCGCCCTTTCCCAAGTCTACTGCAACTTTATTAGCCCACCCCCTTTCTAGCCAACTTGCACTAAACGTACTCCAATAGTCAGTCAGCTCCTCTCACCAAATTCCATGATCTTTTCTCATTATCTTTGGCCACTATGGGCCTCAGTGCTTCAGAGGGAGCAGGGAAGGAAAAGGTCTTCCTTTGCCTAAGTTTAACATTTCCTGATGTACTCACTTGGGTGAGTAGGTTTTTCTTTGGCGATTCTGTTCACTTGGAGGTCTCCCCACTCTATTACTTTCTCAACCATTAGAAGTCCAAAGACAGTAATATTCAAAAGGTGAGTAATATTCAAAATATTCAAAACATATGTAAGGACTCCCCCTCTATGATGGCTACCTAGTCTCTTGCACTACACTTCATAAGCACTACTGCTGTCATAAATCCTAAACTACTCACTGAAAATCTGATTTCCCCTGCCAAATCCAGTGGTTTTCTCAGCTTAATCTTGCTGCCTGGTGTGAGGCCAAATAACCAATAAATAGAATAGGTATAAGGAACAGTGATTTAATATTTGGAGAAACTCCCAAAATGTGCTATCACCCTCAGTTATTACACCTCCCTCTAATCCTCACTAACCAGACGCTCTGAGTACATCTAATATCTTGTTCTCTTTGTTACCTTCCAGTATATTAGAACATTGGCTAGCTCCACATGCCTATCACCTTATAACACTAATGGTCTGGGCAATGTCCTATCCAGGAAACCAGCTGATTGAGGGAGAAACATGGGATGGAATTAAAAGTCACTTAAAGCCACAAAAGTGCCTAAAATTTAACTGACAGTGCAGAGCATCTTTGGAGAAACCATCTTAGTAGTCACTGCAGTTCATCTCTACACATTTTCTCCACACAGTTCTCCTAGTAAGGACATCAACGGAAGCATAGTTGCATGTACTTTACCCCACTTAGTGTCCCAAAGAACAAACATGAAGGTGTATTACAAAAACTGCTTCTTTAGTGAGGTCAATGATCAAATCTGTTTACTGAAAGTAAAATGAACCCACGATAGCATTTTCTTTTCATAATTGTTATATATTTAACTTGGACTTTGAGGGATTTGTTCAACTTGCCTTATGAAGAATATCTAAAGAGGATGAGAAAGAAACAGGGATCACAAACAACTCCTCGCCACCATTCACAGACACCGATCCCTATTCTGATGCTCTGGGAACCGAGGCTGATAATGTTGATTATTATTTACCTTCATCACTCCGAGTTTATTAATATTACTCTAAGAGATTTGTACTCTTTAGTGAAGAACAAAAGAGATGGCTTACTAGGAAAAAGGAATTTGAGGATCAACAATATTCAACAAATACTCTTTGAATGCCCATGATATGCAATGTGTTTTTCTTGCACTGGGGATGCTTGGTAGGATAATCGGCAATCGCTGCCCTCCAGGAGGTGTTTGGTGGAAAACATGCAAAACTCTACAAGGCCGACTGCAATAATGAAGATCCAAAACTAACTTCAATTTGGGAAGACCTGGAAAGGCTTCTAGGAAGAGGTAGCCCTTGAAAATTGTGTAAGAATTCTATAAGCATGTAGAAGAGAAAAGACTATTCCAACCCAAGAAATTGTATGGGCAAGGAGGTAACAGAGTGCAGGTCAGTGTTTCTAAAGATCTTATAAAGAACAATAACCAAGGTGGCTTATTTTAAAAATATATTCCAAGGCCTCATCCCCAGAGATTCTATTCAATAGATCTGGGATTAGAAAGCTAGTTTTATTTTTTTTTTTACAAATACTTAAGGTGATTCTGATGCAGGTTCGAGTTATGAGAAAGACTGGTTTGGTTTGTGTTGAAAGAGTGGTAGTAGCCAGGTGTGGTGGCTCACACCTGTAATCCCAGCACTTTGGGAGGCCGAGGCGGGCAGATCATCTGAGGTCAGGAGTTCGAGACCAGCCTGACCAAGATGGTGAAACCCCATCTCTCCTAAAAATACAAAATTAGCTGGGCGTGGTGGCGCATGCCTGTAATGCTACTCAGGAAGCTGAGGCAGGAGAATCACTTGAACCCAGGAGGTGGAGGTTGCAGTGAGCTGGGATCGCACCATTGCACTCCAGCCTGGGTGACAGAGCAAAACTCCATCTCAAAAAAAAAAGCATGCACGTAGTGGGGGTGTAGTGACCACCAAGATCTCCAAGTATTATTCTTCACTATGCTGAAAGATTTTAAAAAATATTATTCCATCCTCTTCCTTGCAGACAACAAGAGGAAGACATTTGCCTTCCTATTATTTCATTGCAGGAGGAGATATGTTTATTTAAAAGCAGATAAGTTTATTTAAAAGTAGAGCTAATTGTTTAGGTTAAATGAAGAAAGGGCTTACCCAATGTTCTGTCTTACCCAGTGAAACTATGCCCAGTCATACTGTCTTGATGAAATAGGGAGAGGAAGAGGAGGAAAACTACCACTTAGCCATCAACACCTTTCCATAGGCCTGGCACTGTGCTAAGCACCTTCTGTACAGAAATTCAGTTAAACTTTCCTGCAGCATTTTGGAGAAGATATTACTCCCATTTACAGATAAAGAAACGGAAGCATGGGGAACTTAAATAACTTACACAATTAATCAGTGGTGCAGCTGGAATTAAAACTCAGGTCAGTGTGATTAAACAGTCCTTCTCTTAACAAAAACTCTGAAAGAGCATTTACATGTTTGGCTCTTGTTAGGTTATATAGTACAAGCCTCAGACACTTCTACTCATGCCATCAAAGGCTGATAATAATAGATCAGTAAACTTTAAGAGAACTATCAAATTACTCTTAATCCATTTAACTCCTAAGTAATAGATACTGTATAAGTCTCAATTGTAGGTGATCTGTGCCTGATGCTGCCTCTTCCTTAGGCAGAATTGAGAAGACAGGCTTATAATATATTGAAGCTAAAACCAGCATAGAGTTTTATGGGGATATCAAATTGTCATGAGAAGTAGCTCACATGGTAAAAAATAAAGAATTGGTGTAACATATTTTCTCTGCAAATTAGCGTTCTTAGACCACAATTACAAATATCAATCACATAGAACATGAAATTGTTATTTGGTGGATAGAAATTAAAGAGACCCCACTCCAAGAAAACACTTCCAGATAAGCGACACTAACGATGGTATGGGAGCAAGTATTTCAAAAAATGGAAAAAGAAAGGGAGTGATTTGCATATATAACTGAAGGCTTTTGAATTTTTTCTTAAGAATACTGTTTCAGATTAATTATACTAATAGCTACTTCTCATGACCACACTGAAAAGCATCTACATCATATATCCTAGCACGATTTTCATTAATCATTATATCCAATTTGAAAAGTACTGATGTGTCTCTGTTGTGTTAAAAAAAAAAATTCACTAGACAAAATGAAACTGACTTTCCCTGTATACTCACGACCTCAACTTGACAGTCAACCCTGAGGACGGGAATATCTAACTTATTAGCAGAGTGAATGGGATTGGGTTTTAGAATCTGAACAACCAATGTTCAAACTTGCTTTTTCACTAGCTTTATAAATTGGACAATTGACCTCTCTAAATATCGGTTTCATACTATATCGAATGGGACAATATAAGCAATCTCAAAGGGTTATGGGAACAAAATGAGGAAGCGTTATAAACACTTGAACATGCCCAGTACACAGCAACTATCATTTTACTATTTCGTTTCACCTGTGGCTTGTAGCACATTGCTGATCATACAATAGCACTTAATAAGTAGTTGGTCATTTTATTAAAATTAGGAAGTATAAACAAAGCAAAAATAATCAATTCTGAAAGGTAAGTATTAGCAAATGAAGAGTCTGAGCACATGAATATGAATCTTCCCTTCCCTTCCCTTTCAGTTGGGGATTTCTTGCTACTACGAATATTTTAAAATTATTCCTCTTCCTCCCCTCCTCCAGGCCAGACTGCCTCTCACCTGGACCTAAGGTCAGTTGGGAGTACTTTGGTAAGCAGTACTGGCTATATAATTTACTGGGCCCAGAACAAATTAAAAATGTGAGGCCTCTTGTTAAAAAAAAATTAAGAATTTCAAGGGTATGGCAGCAGAGCATTAAACCAGGCATGGCCCTTCCTTCTAAGTGAGGGGCTCTTTTAAGCACAAGGCCCTGTGTAACTGCACAGGTCACATGTCCACAAAGCTGGCATTGGTGGCAAGTATGACGCAGCAGTAGAAAGAAGGAGAGAAGAGTAGAGAAAGGAGGTCCCTGTGCTGTGCAGCAGTACGTAAGGAAAGGCTGGGATGTAATCTCATCCTGAAACTTTCTTAAAAGAAGGAGAACAACAGAAAACAGTTCTGGCCAGATCTATGCAATACAATCTATGCAATAAGGAAGGGAACCTTTCCTTAACTCCTCATTAAAATAATGCAAGGATTTTTCATCCCTGTTGTTTCTCATTGGGAGGAACAGAATCACTACTAAGGCTCTCCATGGTGGAGCAGTATTAGTAAGGAAGATTGGAAGACCAGGGAATGAGGAAACCAGTATCACGGGGAGGAAAGGACTGAAGCCTAGAAAAGGATCAGAATTTTGCTCTATTTAAAGCCCAGTGGAGAGCATGGATAGCTTTTAATTAAGATTTCCTAAAACTGTAATCTTCTTGTTATTTTTAGTCCATCTAGTTTCATGTTATGATGATGGTAAAGCCCTTAGAAAAACCTCAAAAGAGCTGTGAGCTTGTTTCAAGAATAGAAGGTGGGAGAGAATCAGGGAACACAGACTATATTTCTATGCTGCAATGAATCAAAAAAGGCAAAAACAACCTTAACCAGTAGCAACTGTCTGGAGCAGAATTTCTCAGTCTTGGCATTCTTGACATTTGGGGGTAGATGATTATCAGCTTGCTTGGTTTATACACCCACAAGATGTCAGTAGAAACACCCTAGTTGTGACAACCGAAAAATATCTCTGGATATACCAAATGTACCCAGGTAGGTGGGAAGTGAGGCAGTAAGAGGAAATGGAGGAAGCAAAATCATGTCTAGTTGAGAACCACTGGTCCAGAGAAAGAGAAAAAGGATAGGGAAATAGGAGGTTTATAAAGGCAGGTGCCCAGATCTCACAGCAGAAACAGAAAGAAGGGCCCCTGCCAGCATGCACCATCACTGCAAGCTCCTCTCTCAGTTCTCAGTAGTGTCTCTCCCAGCTCCTCATTCATGGGCCTTAGAAGAACCAATCTAAATGGCTTGGAGGTGGGTGCCTCTTTTTTTTTACTGCCAGACAACTAGGAGTGGTGGAGAATCCAGTCATTCTGGAAAGTAAGATAAAGCACAACTGGGAGAAACATTTCTTACCTCAGAAAGTTGATAGTCAATGTATTTGCTGCTAGAAATGTGGTTGTAATTATTTTTAACAATTCAGATATACTTTAGGTTAAATGGTATTTTATGGGTCGGTCTGGGACACTAGAGCCATTTATAATATCATTTCTATTGGAAGATGTAGAGTTCCAAATAAATGAAACATGAAATTTTATATCACAACCTATAAACTAGAAAGTGTCTGTACAGAGAGATTTTAGATTTTAGAAGGGGCTCTCTTATTTACCACAGGATCGGGGTTCCCACACATGTGTGAATCTGTCACTGACTACTGAGAAAGGCACGGCTCCATTTAGAATGACTTTAAGTGTTCAAATGTAGGTACAGCAGCAAAATAGAACAGACAGGTTTATTTGGAACATGTTAATTTCCATAAATTAGCAGGTAGCTATCAGTAGGTCTGGCTTATTCTTACATGAAAACTGGAGAAAATTCACCAAACTGAGCCACACAAAAACCTAAAACTTATTTTAGCTCTCATGTATTGTCTTAAAAAGCATCTTCCCTTTTGAAATTATAATCTCTATTAGAACAAAGTGAACTGACCAGAGGAACATGCTGAACTTCAATAATGAAACTAAGGGAAGTTCATCTAAAATTCCTACATATCCAAACTCCTGTTTTTTATTGTTTATTTTAGACACCATAGCTGAATATTAACCCCCAAGCCAAGAAGCCTACAGAGCAACTTCAGACTGACTAGAAAAGCCAGGCGTGAAGCCTGAAGGTCTAGAGCCTCTATGAACATCGTCCTTTCCACCTCAGATCTCCTCCTATTTTAGAGAAATAAGAATCCTGCTGCCCTCCTAAGGTTATCCCACCACCTGTGCTCCTGATCACATCTTCTACCTCCTCCTCATCTTGCCCCATCAATTTGCCCAACTTCTCTTCTCACATTTTCCATTTTTCCCCTCCTCCCCTGGGACTTCTTCTTTTAAGTGACAGATGCACTTGAACACTGACAACTTAAAACATGTCCTTATTCACACTGCTTCCCCCTCAAGCCATCTTTATCTTCCCCTCCCACTAGTAGAGAGAACTTGTGTCTTATTTCCTCACATTCTATTCATTCTTTTCCTTCTAACCCAGGCTCTGCCCCTCTTATTTATATGAACACTGACCTTGCCCAAGGTCACAGTCACCTAATTACCAAATCCAATTCCTAGCTCAAGCCTCCCCTGTCCTACTTCACTGATACATTCGCCTGCCGTCAGGGGACTGAAGACATTTTGTGATGGTTCTCTGTATGTTTCTGTATTCTTTACAACTATTCAGCAACAAATTAAAATGTCTAACATTAATTGTCAAAGATTTAGACTACAAGCATTTCTTTTCTTTTTTCTAATGAAAAAAATTTAAATGCGTAAGATATGTGATATACTTTTTAAAGTATATGAGGACAACAGTGTTAATGCCTTATAAAACAGAAGAAGCAAAAGTTACCTTAAAAATCTCACCATTTTTAGAGTTTTATCTGCAATCTACATCTGTCAAGAGCATGATGCTAGACACAAAATTCGCACTCAGATGTTTGTGGGATGAATATTTGGCTAAGTAGAGGGAGGACAGGGTGATAGAAAGCGCTGGTTTGGCAGCTAAATGCTTTAATCCTGGCTCAAACACTAAATAGATTTGCTTGGGCAAAGTACTTAAACTCTTTGCATATATTTTCACTAGTAAACTAGAAGTCTTAGTAACTGTCAGATCTATCTCAGGTTATCAAAACACTAATAAAATATGAGAAAGTTCTTTGAGAATACAAATCTTTTATCAAATTGCTCAGAATTTTTTTCTAATGTTAGGATTCCATCAATTGAATGAATATCTTACTTTCATAAGACAGTTACTAAATCTAATCACATAATAGAGACTCTTGTCACATAATTGTCGATTAAAGCAAAATCCAGAAAGTGTGTACTTTCTAGTCACTCTCAAAAGGCTAAATATACAAGACACTGGGTTAGGGCTACGTGGATGAATGGTGTTTCCTGCCAAGAAGAAATTCACTGTCCAGTTTCTAAACTGCTTTATTTCCAATCAGCCCCATATAGTATCTGAATTGTCTAGTTATGGTCAGCAAAAACAACTTAAATACCATGGCCTGCAAACATCAAAGATCAAGTATGAGCTACCCTCTTATTTTGTCAGGGTGGCCTAAGAAGAAAGAGCTAGATAATGACAAGAAAATTATTGCATAAACCAAGGAGAAGGTTACTTCGTGTGGCTGTGCAAACTACAATGTGATCTCTCGTTAAGGCAAAAGATAATTTGGGCTAAACAGGATAGATGAATAAACCAAAGGGCAAATTTTAGGGCTGATGAAGACAGAGGTGCAGTAAGCGTTTGCTGTAGTTGTTTGACTAAATTTTGCCATGAATACTCTCTAACTTACACACAGTGGGTATACAATACTTGTCAAGTGCCTGAAAAGGTACAATTATCCTAAGATGACCATGGAATAAGAGTATCATTCGTGGTGCCTAGATTTTTCATGTGCTCCTCCCACAGAAAAAGCTACAATCATTTTCTTATTGATACGCAAGTTCATATAGGAACTTAGATGTGCTCCTTCACTACTTTTCACATATTTGTCACATGTCAGTATACTTGGAATTATTTGCTCAGTGTTGATTTTCAGATTCAAAGTTTTATGAAGATGGGGGCATGTTCGACTTTTTTGTTTATATAGCACCTGTTAATCAGCAATATCTGCTGTGAAATGAATAAACTGATGATTTCAAAACCCACTCGACTGCAGGAACTTTGATCTCTAATAGATAAGGATCTATCATTAGTTCTTTATAAGAAGATGTGCGCTTAAGAAAAGCTTTCTTGAAACTAATCTCGGTAGTGTAAATTAATTCCTTTTTTTTTTTTCGAGACGGAGTCTCGCTCTGTCGCCCTGGCTGGAGTGCAGTGGCGCGATCTCGGCTCACTGCAAGCTCCGCCTCCCGCGTTCACGCCATTCTCCTGCCTCGGCCTCCGGAGTAGCTGGGACTACAGGCGCCCGCCACCACGCCCGGCTAATTTTTTGTAATTTTAGTAGGGACGGGGGTTTCACTGTGTTAGCCAGGATGATCTCAATCTCCTGACTCGTTATCCGCCCGCCTCAGCCTCCCAAGATGCTGGGATTACAGGCGTGAGCCACTAAATTAATTCCTATTCTTTCTGTAGGACACTAACAGGCACTATTTTTTTTTTCCTCTCTTTTTTTTTTTTTTTTTTTTTTGAGACAGAGTATCACTCTGTTGCCCAAGCAGGAGTCAGGGATGCAGTGGGTATGATCATAGCTCGCTGCAACCTGCAACTCCGGGGCTCAAGGAATCCTCCTGCCTCAGCCACCCGAGTAACTGGAACTACAGGCCCACACCACTGCGCCAGCTAGTTTCTTAAAAAATTTCCTGTAGAGATGGAGTCTCACTTTCTTGGCAGGCTGCTCTCAAACTCATGGCCTCAAGCAGTCCTCCCATCTCAGCCTCCCAAAGTGCTTGGATTACAGGCATAAGCCACCATGCCCAGCCGTTCTTCCTTTTTAATACCAATACATCGAGAAATAGAAGTACATATGCACTATTTAGAATATGACATTAATCAACCACTAGAATTAAAATCAGGTTATAAATCCTCAAAATTACCAGAAGTATAAATTTAAATGAAAAACCCAGACCACAGAACAAAAACAGAAATACCAAAAAATAATCACAAAATATTAAAAACAGTATATAAACACAGTGACAGAATTAGGACTAAACATATCTGTAAAACAATAAATGTAAGGGTAATCTCACCAATTATGAAAAAGACCTTCAGATCATATTTTAAAACAAATTTAAAAACTCAACTGTATGTTTATGCAAGAGACAGATTTAAAAATAAAGAGACTCAGAAAGCTGGAAATAAAAAGAAAGTGCAAAGAAATAGCAAACAAATACAGGCATAAAAAAAAACAAAGATCCCAATAGTACTATAAGATTACTTCAAGGCAACAGTGTCAAATAAGACAAGGCATAATCCATTATAAAGAAATAACTTCTATAAAAGAAATGTTTTCTTATAAAAAGAAATTTGATAGAATTGGATTTGAATTTCAATGAGGAAAAGCTCATATACAGACTGAGTTCAAAACTTGTTAGGAAAGGTCTCCCCAATACCTCATTCCACTTTTCATTTGGATACTACCAATATCAGAGAAAAGAATATCACAATAGATACTGTAAACATTAAAAATATTACTAGAAATATATAAACAATCTTTTGCCACTAACTTTGAAAATTATAAAATGCACAAATTCCTAGAAAATCACATGAAAAAAACTAGAAAGAAAAAATGAATATTCTTCCATGTATCTATTTTAAAAATTGAAGCCTGAGCAACATAGTGAGACCCCATCCCTACAAAAAGTAACAAAATTTTTAAAAACTAGCCAGGCGTGGTGGTGTGCACCTGTAGTCCCAGCTACTCTAGAGGCTGAGGTGTGAGGCTCACTTGAGCCCAGGAGGGCAAGGCTGCAGTGAGCTGTGATCACACCATTACACTCCAGCCTGAGCGATACAGCGAGACCTTGTCTCAAAAACAAAGAAAAAAAATGAATCTGTAAGTTAAAACTTTTCCATAAAAAAAATAGGCTGAGATGACCTCCCAATTAATTATTCCAAAAAGAAAATTTTGTTTTTTAAAAATGCCAATTTTATAGAAACTCTTCCAGAGACTATAAGAAGGATCACCTCCAAGCTCATTTTATAAAGCCAGAAAACCTTGATACTAAAGCTTGAGAAGCAAATTACAAGAAAAGAAAAGTACAAGTCAATTTCAATCATGAATATAAAGGCAAAACATCCTAAACCTAATAACAGCAACTCTAAACAGTGATAACAATGATAATACATTACAACCACATTGGGCTTACTCCAGGAATTCTAGATCTGTTTAACATTCAAAAACATCAAACAGTGAAATTAATCACATAAACCAATCAATATGATACACTTTATTAACAGAATAAATAAACATTATTTGATCACTTAACTAGGTAGAGGAAAATAATTGATAGAATTTAATATCCATTCATAAGAAATATTCTTAGTAAAACAGAAAGAGAAGCAAATTTCCTTAATCTGACAAAGAATATTTACAAAAAAGCCTAGAGCAAGTATCACATTTAATGGAGAAACATTAAAAATGTTCCCTGACATCACGAATGAGACTAGAATATCTGTTACCATCAATTCTATTCAACATTGTATTGGAAGTTCTAACTAATAAAATAGAAAAAGGACAAAAAAATCAAAGGTTTAAATATTGTTAAGAAAGAAAGAAGGAAAGAAAGAAAAACTCTCATTGACAGATGACATGTTTATTCACATGTAAAGTCCAAAAGAATCATAGGTGACTTAATAATTTAGAAGGATAACTGAAATCAGAGTCAATACACAAAATCAATTCATTTCTAATATTAGCAAAAGATAATTAGAAAATAAAAATTTTATAAATGACACCATTTACAGTAACCTCAAATATCTAAGAATCAATTAAAGATATATAAGATCACTAGACTGAAAACTATAAAAGCTTACTGGAGGAATACCTAAGATTCGTGGACTGTAACACTTAATATTATAAAAATATTAATTCTCCCCACAGATTTACATCCTAGCAGCATAAAGAAAATATTTTTGATGAGCATGTGGCAGAAATTTTAAAATCAGAAAAGGTTAACTATAATTATATTAGAAAACCTAACATAGAGTTATTAAGATTAAAAACAACAAAGAATTATGACAGAAAGGAGTGGCAGGGCATTACTTACCCTACCCAGAAAAATTTCCATTCATAATAACGTAAACCCTGACTATTTAACCTATTTACCTAAAATTGTGATACATCTAGGTTGGGAGCATGACGGCAGAGAGAGAGAACTATGTAGTCACCTATCCTTGGGGAAAGTAAAGAAATAATGGCTAAAATTAACAAAGACAGCCTAACAAGTATATTAATTAGAAATATGAAGATAATTATAAAGAGATATGATAAGAATTAAGAATAAATGTTTCTGGCAGAGACTAGAAGACTTAACTGGAGTAGTAAACTACTGTTTTGAGAAGTAGTTTTTAAAAACACTATTCGATTTTTTCATCTGTATTCCTATGTTACTTAGAGAAATAAAAAAAGTTCACAGATCCTCCCTCATGACAGTTGTCATGTTTTTAAAATGAACTAGAAAAATACACAATTATTGGTAACTATGAACCAACAGCCTATGTATTCCTTAATTTTTTCTTTTTCTTTTTTTTTTTTTTTTTTTTTTTGAGACAGGGTCTCATTCTGGAGTGCAGTGGCCTGATCTCGGCTCACTGCAACCACTGCCTCCTGGGTTCAAGCAATTCTCATGCGTCAGCTTCCCAAGCTGGGACTACAGGCACGCGCCACCATGCTCGGCTAATTTTTGGCATTTTTAGTAGAGATGCGTTTTCACCATGTTGGCCAGGTTGGTTTTGAACTCCTGGCCTCAAGAAATGTGCCTGCCTCAGCCTCCCAAAGTGCTGGGATTACAGATGTTGAGCCACTGCATCTAGCCTCATTCCTTAATTTTTAAAAATTCACATGTAATGTCTCAATTGCAATTCTTCCCTGCATAAAGACTGACCATATCTCCAGACTCTCTTGGGCTCTAGCCCATCATCTTTTACTAGCTCAACATGCAACAATTACTTTAAGAGTATAAATTTTCTACCACTCAAATTCATATTTTATTATTTTTAAAAAATATTGAGCTACCCTTTATTATGTCCATATTTCTGTCAAAGATATCATTCTCCCACTTTATTCTAAGATTCTTCATATAGGCAGAGCTGATAAGTCAATAAATTTTGTCAATTATTTATTTTATTCTTTTTTTTAAGACGGATTCTTGCTCTGTCGCCCAGGCTGGAGTGCAGCGGTGCGATCTCGGCTCACTACAACCTCCACCTCCCAGGTTCAGGCAATTCTCTGCCTCAGCCTCCCAAGTAGCTGGGATTACAGGCACCTGCCACCACACCCAGCTAATTTTTTTTGTATTTTTAGTAGAGACAGGGTTTCGCATCTTGGCCAGGCTGGTCTTGAACTCCTGACCACGTGATCCACCCGCCTCGGCCTCCCAAAGTGCTGGGATTACAGGTGTGGGCCACTGTGCCCGGCCATCAGTTATTGTATGACCAGCATAAAACACACCTTATCGCTTATGCCCTAACTTCTGTAAGAGTTTCTTCAGTGATCTCCTAACCCTGTCAGTCCTCATACTATATACAATTGACAGACTTCTGTCTAGAATGTTCCCTCCATATTTCTCTGCTTTTGAAGACCACATGCTCTCTCACTCTTCTGGTGTTTTTTTCATTGCACTTAACACAACATGATACATTATCTATACATGTATTTGTCTGACTCACTTCCTATTCTCACACTAGATGGAAAGTTCCATGACAGCAGGGACTTTGTCTTGTTCACTGCAGTATCCCATTGTTTAGAAAAGTACAAGGTGAAGGCTCAATAAATAATTTTTGAATGAATGAATAATTTAATTCACTAATTCAACTAATTTACATATTAAGCACTTACATAATAGAGAAATTGGGGATAAAGCAATGAATAACCTAATATAGTTGTGATCAGAAAAGAAGAAAGAAGAAACACTAAGGAATGTCTCTAAATCCAAACTTGGTAAATCAGGGGTTTTCTGAACAGAAGTGACATCTAAGTTCTTGATGTCACTTGAGAGATGAGTAAGAAACAGCCGCTGAAGGAGAGAAAGGAAACAGCATGAAATCTGATCAAGGTATGTAAGGGTCAGGGGTAGGGGATGAATAGCATATGCAAAAACCTGAAAAATGTTCCATATGATTTGAATGTAGAACAAGAGAAGAAGGTGAGGCCAGAGAGGTAAGCAAAAGGGCTTGGCAGTCATGTTAAAGTGTTCTGAATTTACCCTAAAAGCTACCAGAAAGCACTGCAGGGTTTTCAGCAGTATAACACTATTAACACTATCAGACCATCATGCCAGAGGAACACCTGCCTGCAATATGAAGAGTGAAGTAAGGGAACAAGACAGGAAGCACTTGCACCCAGGAGTTCAAGACCACCCTGGGCAACATAGTGAAATCCCATCTCTATGAAAAACACAAAATTAGCCAGGCATGGTGGTGTGCACCTGTGGTCCCGGCTACTCAGGAGGCTGAGGTGGGAGCATCACTTGAGCCCAGGAGGTTGAAGCTGCAATGAGTCGTGATTGCACTCCTGCACTCCAGCCTGGGTAGCTAAGCAAGTCCCTGTCTCCAAAAAAAAAAAAGACAAAAAGCAGAGAGATTAGATGAAATGAATAATAGTTACTTAGTCTCAGAACGGAGCAAGAGAACATTCAGGAGGTAGGATCGATAGGACTTGCTGGCTAAATAGACGCTTGGGGTGAAAGATAGGAAGAATCAAGGATGATGCTCAAGTTTCCAGCTTAGGCAGCCAAGCGGACAGTGGTCCTTTCACTGAGATAAAGCACATCTAATAAAAGGCAGATTTGATTGGATGACAAAGGAGTTCATAGAGATAAAGCAATAGATTACAGGTGCTGATGAGACTTCCAAGTGAACAATGTTAGTAGGAGAATTGACACAAACGACTGAAGCTCAGGATGAAGATATAAATTTGGAAATCATTAACATATGGATGATAACTGAAGCCATGAGAATGAGTGAAATTACCCATGGAGGGTTTACATACAAAAAAGAATGCATAGTATTCCCCGGGAAACCTCAACATTTTAAAAGACAGATAGAGAAAGAACCTAAGAAGGGGATTCAGAAAAAAAAGTATGAAGGAAAACAAAGAAAGTGTAGAGTCAAAGAATGAAAGCAAATGTTTCAGAAAGAGAGGTAGTCATATTGTTTAACGTTAAAGCAGGGCAAGAAATTTAAAGACCGAAACTTGTCCATTCAGTTTAACAAGGAACATCAGCAATTCTGAAAAGAACAGTTTCAGTGAGAACAAAAGCTATTATTTCAGAGACATAAACATACTGAGTAAGAGGTAAAGCAGATAGTAAACACACACAATGCCAAGAAGTTTGACTTTAACAAGAAAAGAAAGGGAACAAATGCTAAAAGGGGAGCAGTGAAGTGGATAATTTTTTTTAAGATGGGGTGGATTTGAGTATATTTAAATGCTTTGGGAAGAAGCCAGTTTAGAGACAGTTGGAAGATAAAAGGTAAGTGACATATTCCACTGGATGGGGTCTCTGAGAAGGAAGGAGGAAGTGTATCTGCAGAGTACAGGTGTTGGAATTAGCTTTAGGCCACCAGGATATTCCTTCAAGTTCAGTTCAGATGGGTAATATAAAAGCTACTCCCTAGTTAAAAAAGCTCTAAATGTTTCTCATTTTTAAAATTTAACACAAATGCCTCAGTCTATTTAACTTTATACATATTGAAATAAATATAAATTTAAAATAAAATGCCCTTTTAAACTACTGAATTACTTCCCCCCACCCAAAAAAAAAGTACTAATAATACTCAAAGCTATAGAAAAAGAGTCCCCAACCCCCAGGCCACAGACGGGTAGCGGTCTGTGGCCTGTTGGGAGCTGGGCGGCACAGCAGGAGGTAAGCATTACCACCTGGGCTCCACCTCCTGCCCAATCAGAGGCAGCATTAAATTCTCACAGAGGCGCGAACCCCATTGTGCTCTGCGCATGTGAGGAATCTAGGTTGCATGCTCCTTATAAAAATCTAATGCCTAATGATCTGAGGTGGAATGGTTTCATCCCAAAACCATCCCCCTCGCCCTCACCTGGTCCATGGAAAAATTGTCTGCCACCAAACCAGTCCCTGATGCCAAAAAGGTTGGGGACTGCTGCTATAGAAGGTAAGCTGAAACTGGAAAGTATCTAACTTATTGATAGTCTTTTAATTTGGTACAACCCTTTGGAATCAATTTGCTAGTATGTACCAAAAATGTAAATATTCACACTAATTATATTTCTGGGAATCTAGCCCAAGGAAACATTATAAAATATTGTTAGAAAATATTTTTTACATTTTAAAAATATGTCCAGCATATGTTTCATGCCTGTTCTAAAGATTTCCTCAAGCCTCCTAGCAACAGTAACCTCACTTTTCTTAAACACCTATAGCACTTGCCTGTACTACTCTACTATTCATTTGGCACTTTGTATATGGCATCTTCCCAACAGTACCCAGAGTAATATTTTTAAGTGTTATAGGACACATCCTCTATTTTCCCTGCCCAGACAGTCAATTTTTCTGTCCAGAGCAAAGGAATATATCCACCATGAGACTCTGCTTTAGCTTATCTATTTGTCAGTCATTAAGAACATTATAATGAGACTATACTAGAAATAACTGTTAGAGATTAGAAACAAGAAAATGCTGCTAGAATGCCTGAAATAGTAACCCTCTGGGTTTTAGCAACTGAAAGCTGATCTATTTTACACACTTTTCATACACAGTGACTTTAAACTGCACATTTACAAAATTTATCTTTTATCAGGAAAGTTTCTTCTAATACAATTTAAAACATTCCTTCTAAAAGAAAAGGCTGGCTTCTGGAAGTAGGTAAAGGAAAGTTTCATATCCTTGAAAGGGGAATTGGCAAAATGAAATAAAAGGAAAAAAATCTAAGATCAAGTGGAAGATTCAAATCTGCTTCTTTACTGTTAAACAATTACCCCTACAAAAAAGTGAATATTCTATAAGAAATGAAATTACTATTCAAAGACTGTCAAAAACACAAAAGCCTTTTAGCCCTCTATAATCTAATAATTAAAAGGAAGAAGTAATAGTTCAAAGATGAAGCTTCTTTGGTTTGAGGCTAAAAGAGAAAAAGAAGCAATCAAGAGACCAGATAGTATCAAAGATGACAGCAGCAAAGAAATAAGAAATAGAAATGGTAGTTCTTCACATTATGAAGGGGGTAAACTAGGAAAGGCATTGTTACCAGCAAAAATTACAACTCAATTAGACTAAAAAGACCTTGAGATGTGTTTTATGCATCTAGCTGAATAAGGATATTTCAGTGATTACTGTTTGGGATAATAGTCTGATAACTGGCAGAGTTCCCTCCTCCCCACTACAGGGGTCTTTTTAATCTAAAGAAAAGACAAGCAATCATCAAATACACTGATGCTATATACAAAAATGGCTGGCTACTACCCTATTATAACTAGGTTTTACAAATTCCATCACTACCTTAAAATTTTAATTATAAGTAGAAATCACTACTGAATTCTGTTTAATGCTTTTCTTTTCATACCCTAATTTGCACTTTTAAAGCTAAGGCATTTTCAAGGAGTCAATACATTAAAAATTCGTAATTTATATATTTTATAGAATTCAAATTAGGCTGCCATATAAATGACCTGGGCATAGGATGTTGGTTATAAAAGACAGAATTATTATTTTTAATGATTGCTTCTCATCTAAATTAAACATTTCAGATCTTCTCACAGTAAAGCCTAGTTAATATTCAGAAGCCTAATCCTAGTTATAGGCCTCAAAATTCAACACTTTAAAAGGAATTACAATATCACTATCTTGAACATCTTATTAAAAGAATGTGATACAAAGAATAAAAACATTTATATCTATGGGAACCTCAAAAATAGAAACCTCATTGTCTAATTCATTTACTCTCTAATAAAAATAACTTCTCCAATTGGAATATTTGGCAATTTATATTATCAACTGAATTCAATGAATCTAAGAATGGATAGCAAAATTGGAAGAATCATTTCTGCCTATGTATATTTTGCCAACTATCTCCTCAATTACAAATAGCTGATTAGCAGTCATCTACCATATGTATATCAAAATAGAATTAAAACCAACATCTTTCCTTTACTAACAAACTGAATCTAAACTGGAATACTTGGGATAACAGATCATGATTTTTAAAACATTAACATGAAAATTGTCTTTTTACTATTTTCCAATATTCTGCCCAATGCACAGTCCTATTGGTGAGACAGTGGTCAAATATTACCTCAATTCTTACATTGATGATAAAGAAAGAGGAAAGACAACTAATATCTTAGCACAATCAAAAGCATCCAGCAAAAATTGTCAGGTACCATAAGGATAAAGTAAAAAACAGCCAAAGCTTTTGGAGAAGTGGCCTGCTAAATAATTTTAAACACTTCCTGTCTATGCAAGCTAAAAGGAAGATTAAACCCTCAAAAGATCTGGGTTGAAATGACGTAAGTTTTTTGGGGAGAGATGGAGGAGATAGAACTTTGCTCTTTGGACACATACCTTTCATTTGAGAATAATCTCATACACCATAATAAAAGAAGGAAAACTTAAAACTATTCAACATACCAAAGAACAAGGAGCAACTAGTCTGGTTATTTCAACTTTAAAACTCTAAGTTACCAATATCTCTATAGCCAGGTAAACACCCAGTAAATAATTACTAGAGGTTTTTAAAACTGTGACTGAATTTAGGTGCAGAAAATAATTAAATTACTGTTAAAACGGCCAGAATTTGCTAATCAATTCATCTTTAAATAAAACATTTGGGTTTACAGACTACATTGAGAATGATTTGGCAAAGAAAAGATGAGGATAAAATCTATTAAATACTATCTGATCTCATAAGGAAACTCAAATTTCCAACGTGGAATGATATTACTAATTAAAGATTACATTCCACCTTCTTTATCTTTCAGAATTTTTGAAGCAAATCTGTTTTACCCAATTATATACTTTCAAAATTCTCAATTAATAAATATATTTTTGGGGAAATGATTTTTAAATCACCAAAAAGTCAAAGGACAAGATGTTCAAGACTTTAGACAGTATCTGAGAAAGAATACAACCAGGGAACGGCTTTATCAAGGTGGGCAAAGTTCAGAATGCCAGAATTCCTTCCCTGTTGTAATGAATATACTGCAACCTCCTGTGGTTTCGTGACTATCACTGGGTGTGGTAGTAAAACAGAAGGGAAAAGCCTCACACAGAAAGCTGAATGGCCCAAAGAAAACCTAAGTGGTGACAAGAGCCTAAAGGCACATGCAGGTACGCATCTTTTATGTTGGATGTGATACACTTACATGGCCCCTGTTGAATCTCTTGGGGACCAACAGTAAAGCAAGTTTAGAACTTCAAATCTTGAGACATCTATAGCAAGATGCTGATCCAATGTGGCTCCAAATATCTTCTGTTTTCCTGGCTCACCTGAAGAGGAAAAAACACTACAGAGGATGTGGGAACTGAATTTCTTTATGTAGTTTCTTCTAGAGCAACTGTCTGAAAGTTTTGGCCCAATCCTTTATGAAGTCTGGAGATGAGACACTTGAAGGACTAGTGAAAAACAAAATTCAAATGAAAAGGTAGAGTGAGACATCTAAAAGGGGAATACGAGAGCAAAAGATAACCGTCGTAGGTAAATCAGTGTTTCTAATCCTTAGGTGGACTCAGGTGGGAGGAGGCAGAGAAAGGAGAGAAAAAAAAACGCACAGATGTTTCTCCCTCCACTCCCTCACCCCAATTGCTACTAAAAATTCATGAACTACCTAGGCTTTTTGACCACAATTAGGGAGTGAATAAGTAAGGTTACGTGGAAGGTTTCAGCATTTTGTCCAGTCTCCCTCCCCGGGCTATATGGCATTAACAGGCAGCAGGGAGGCCTTTCAGGTAATGCTTTTTTTCTAAGAAAAGATTCTGGTGGAATACAGCTTGAAGCAATAAAGAAAGAGAAAAATAAATTGAATTGGTACAAAAATGGAAGTCACAGGACAATATACCATATTGACAAAGTTTATCTAATTCTGTTTTTCAAAAGGGGTGGGACAGATTTCACAAAACAAGAAATCAGAATAAAAAGTAGTTTTAGCTTCCAAATAATACAAAATATTTTTAAACTAAGCAACACAAACTACATGCTTCATTCTTCTATGAAATATTATCCTTGGAAAGATAATCTTTAAAAAACTAAGATTAGCAGAACCAAGTCTGATGTATATTACCACACGAAAAGCATAAAAATTTAGTCCATATTATGAATTAGATTCATTATTAACTTCTTAAATTTTTTCTTAAAAATATTTTACCTAAATTTTGCATACTTCAGCATTCATGTAATAGCCTAGGACATAAAATAATTTTCTTTCCAAATATACTCCATTTTAACCAGAATTTATTTGAATTATTTCTGGTAAAAATACCAGCATTTTTCTGAAAAATAAGATTGGAGAACGAATTAGATCCTTACCTGACGTGGCTGTTCATTCATTCGTTGTGGGTCTGATTTCACTTT
The DNA here is from genome assembly GCF_000001405.40 of Homo sapiens. Lineage (NCBI taxonomy): Eukaryota > Metazoa > Chordata > Mammalia > Primates > Hominidae > Homo > Homo sapiens. The sequence goes on from NC_000018.10 coordinate 54,188,919, forward strand.
ATTACTAGGATGATTTGTGACTTTGGTTACCGGTTGTTTGAAAATTGATGCTGTTTGTCTAATTGGCAATGTTGTATTCAAGTCTGGTTTACCCTGTGAATATAAATGTATTTTTATTTAAAATATTATATATAAACACAATCAGATGACTTCCTACTAATTCAATATCTATTACTTTAAATCAAATTATTCCAAACTTCTCAGTCTATCGCAGCATTTTAAATACTCTAGGGTACATGTTAAGCACCTAATAAGTGAAACATGTATGAAGTTTCCTCAAAATATATGAAAAACTTTTTGTATACTTTTTTTTTTTTTTTTTTGAGACGGAGTCTCACTCTGTCGCCCAGGCTGGAGTGCAGTGGCGCGATCTAGGCTCACTACAAGCTCCGCCTCCCGGGTCTGCTTACGCCATCCGCCTCAGCCTCCCGAGTAGCTGGGACTACAGGCGCCCGCCACCAAGCCAGCTAATTTTGTGTATTTTCAGTAGAGACGGGGTTTCACCATGTTAGCCAGGATGGTCTCGATCTCCTGACCTCATGATCCACCCGCCTCGGCCTCCCAAAGTGCTGGGATTACAGGCGTGAGCCACCGCGCCCGGCCAGCTTTTTGTATACTTTTAAGTGTAAGAAAATTCTCTACATAAATTTCCTATCTGATCAGCAAGGCACTAATGACTTTTAAATGAACAAATATGTTTAAGATTGGTTTATCCAAAAAAAGAACTTGGGGTTTTGCTTGTTTGTTTAGGGGCAGGGTCTCACTCTGTTGCCCAGACTGGAGCTCAGTGGCATGATCATGGCTCACGGCAGCCTTGACCTCCTGGGCTCAAGCAATCCTCCGACCTCAGCCTCCCGAGTAGCTGGGACTATAGGCAGTGCCACCAGCAGGCTAAGTTTTTGTATTTTTTTTGTAGAGATGGGGTCTCCCTACATTACCAGGCTGGTCTCAAACTCCTGGACTCTAGCAATCTGCAGGCCTCAGCCTCCCAAAGTGCTGGGATTACAGGTGTGAGCCTCCACACCTGGCCAAGAACTTTAAGGATACCAATCAGGATAGCAATCATTTCTACATTCTGAGAATGGAGGAAAATATTGGCATACTTGGCATTAAAATATAAACAACCTGATCAGCAATTAGGAGGCCAGACTTACATAAAACCACATAAATTAACCTCTTTTATATAAAAACAAATATGTACAAATGGTAGTTCTAATTCCAGCAAACAGAACTCAATTTAGAAAAATGTGATAAGGAAGTGTTCCTTATTTTTAATATACAGTAGGTCTTTGAATAATGTCGTTTTGTTCAATGTCATTTTGTTATAACGATGAGAAAAAAAAATCCATTCCCAGCCTAAGCCCATCTGTGTGAATTTGGCATGTTCTCCCCAGGTCTGTTTGGGTTTTCTCTGTGTACTCCTGTTTCCTCCCACATCCCAGTGATAAGTGCACTTTAGGTTCAGTGGAGCATCCACATGGTCCCAGCCTGAGTGAGCGTGAGTGCGACCTGTGATGGGATGGGGTGCTGTCCAGGGTGGGGTCCCGCCTGGCACCCTGAGTTGCTGGGAGAGGCTCTGGCCACCCACGACCCTGAACTGGAATCAGTGGGTGAATAATAATCTTGTTTATATTAATCTTTCTTAAATGTGTGGAGAGCTCACGTTAATTTCAGTGTTTATCATTAGAAGTGTTTTGGTCTTTATTTAGAAGTTTGGGATGTTTTGTGACCAGAAATATGCCACAGGAACTTAATTTTTGTTTACATCAATTAGCCTAGAGTAAATATGTTTCATTATACATCATATGGCTAAAAGTCAGTTTCCAAGAACCTATCAACAACATTAAGTGAGGACTTACTGAATATTATATTTAATACTTTTAAAGGAGACTTAACACTGAAGCTTCGTAAAGCCATATAACTTATTTACCTAGTTTTAATCAATCAATCAATAAAATCTACGATGTGTTCCAGTGAGGTCAAAATGTGGCACAGAATTGCTATTAAGTTCATTTGCAATACTCTTAACAAACAAGAAAGAAAAGGGAGAAAACACAATTATCGTGTTTTCTCAGATTCTGGCAAAAAGGATGAAGTAACATATACCTGAAAACAAAATACGTCTGATATATTTTTGATATTTACAGGATATTTGATGAACTTTTATCTTTACTACTACCCCCACATATAAATTGTAATCTCAACTTCCATGCTCCAGAACAGGGGTTCTCAAGCCTGAGCATGCATCAGAATCACCCAGAGGGCTTGTTAAAACACAGGTGACTGAGTCTCACCCCTGGCACTGGGCATTCAGCAGGTCTGAGATAGGGCCTAGGAATTTGCATTTCTATTAAGGTCTCAGGTGATATTGATGCTGCTAATCCTGGGACCACACCTGGAGAAACACAGCTCTAAAACAAAGATTGCAATTTGATGGCAGGTGGATCAAGCCTAACCCAGAGATGAGTGTTCATTTTTTAGTGCCTTTAATGAATTAAGTCAGCACCTAAAAATCTAGAGTCTTCATATAAAATCCAGAATTCTAGCTTCTCTTAAAAACTGAAAGATCTAGAAATACTGGACTTGGTTTGGCAACAATAGGCTGTGACTGATTAGAAATGGCTGTCCAGTAGTGGCCTCAGGGTCTCCTGTTGCAACATTCCTCAACAAGTCACATTTGCATTACCTGTCTGGGCCCTGCAGGCACTGAGTTTGTGACCTCTACTTAAAGAACATTAGCATGCCTAGAAATGTAAGCCTCACAATAATCTGACAATTATTACAATTACAGTATTCTTTAGATCCAATATTAAATGTGTCCTCACCTCTACACCTCTCCACACAACACAGCCCTCCTGTTTGTATTGGGCAATCCTGTCATTCCTTTATCTCATTTTTTTCCCCCAATGTCTCTGCTTACCTTTAAAAGATATGCTCATCTCAAATGACTAACAGTATTATTTCTCAGGTATTTAGCTTTATCTTTATGGATTTTCAAAAAATATATAAAATGTGCAAATTTGGCTGACAAGCTGCAAAGTAACCACTTAGGTTGCTAACTCTACGAAGTGTGAGGCTCAGGAGTACGCATTTTAAATGCTCTCCTGGTCATTCTGTGATGCAAAGAAAGTTTGAACACCTCTGATTTATGACATCTCGACCATTTGGAGGCCCTAAGTGAAGTCACCCAACCTGTTAACAACAGTAGACAATATTCAATCCTTAAGCAGCTTCACACATAAATGCTTACAGGGAACTTCTTGTCACTAATTAGGTATAATCAGTATGTATCACTAAACGATGCCTTGTTTGGCTTTTAATGTTTTTGTTCTTGAGACGGAGTCTTGCTCTATCACCAGGCTGGAGTGCAGTGGCGCGATCTTGGCTCACTGCAACCTCTGCCTCGTGGGTTCAAGCAATTCTCCTGCCTCAGCCTCCTGAGTAGCTGGGACTACAGGCACGCACCACCACACCCAGCTAATTTTTTTATTTTTAGTAGAGACAGGGTTTCACCATGTTGGCCAGCATGGTCTCGATCTCTTGACCTTGTGATCTGCCTGCCTCGGCCTCCCAAAGTGCTGGGATTACAGACATGAGCCACTGCACCCAGCCTTTGTTCTTAATAAAGAATGATATACTCTGCTGGTATTAGAACAAAGGTGGCATCATGTGTCTACTTCAGTAGACACACAGAAGTATTTGCAACCGTCTGCATGAGTAAACATATTCAAACCTGTGAGATTCTCATTGTTACCAAGGATGACTGGAGGCAACTACTCTAAACTGTTTCAAACTATGAATCCTGAATCCATGAAGACTGGAAGGAAGCATGGAACAGGTCAAACTATTGATGCTACACTGGTAAGATGGACGTTCTTCCATTCACTTATGTTTCTGTGCAATAAAAAAAAATTAAAAGAAAAGCCTGGCTAAAATATTTAAGATATACAACTAACTTCCATTGTCTAATGAGACAGTTCATTCCCTACTGGCACAGAATGAGACATTATTCAAAATGTGCTGCATTATTCTTCACTCAATCTTATTTTGGTTTTTAGTATTTTTTCTCCTTTTAACTGGCCTAGAAGCTCTGACGACAGAATGTCTTTAATTTATTATTCTAAAACAGTATCACATGAAGCTGAGCAATCTGTAAAGCTGGACTAACTAGTTTTCCCAGGAACTGTCAAAGAAACAGTCAATTCTATTACCTCTACCCTGAGGACTGCCTTGAGTCACTATTAATTTATGCCCAGTTGTGTGTCTGAGTTTTTCTACAGTTTAGTTTAGAATCTAAAGGACCAATCTACCATCACCGTCGGAGTTAAAAGCCAGACACTTTTTTATGGGACAAGATTAAAGCTGTTTATGTATATGCAATCTTCTTATATCTTCAATATAAGAAAAAGTGAAGCAGAAATTCTTTGTTACAAAATTAAACTGGCAAACACATTCTAATATCAGAACTAAGTTTCCAACCTTTGACAAAACTATGTACAGACTAGCCCTCAAATCAAAATTTAATACATTTTATAATAATGTGTATATTAGGCTGAAAGTATTTTTCTTGAGGATCTATTTTATCCCCTAGTTGCAGGGAGGAACATAAAAATAAATCTTTCTTATTTTTAAAAATTTTACTTCCTCTCTTTCCAGTAAGTATCTGAGATATATCTTTTGTACACTCCCAAAGGACAAAATACACAAAAATTAATTTTTAAAAACAGAAAATCAAGAACAAGGAAAAAAACAGATATCCTTTGGAAAAGATCAATAGTGATACTAGAGCTAAGCATCAAATGTGGATCTGAATTTTCAAGGGGCCTGGGCAAAGAGAGAAACATTCAATTACACAGATACCATGGTCAGAAAGGAGGACGCATACCAAGTAATGAGGAAAACAAAAAATGTCCAGGTATTAAATCTAGAAGAAAATCGATAAAGACACTAAACTTCAAAACAAATATTAAGCAGATTTCAAATGCTCTTTCTTTTTTCAGTGACTTTCCATGAAAACCAAGAACATAAGACTTAAAGGACAACTCAGTAAAGGTGAGTCTGAAAGGGCCTAATTATTGTGTAACCTTCCAATGATCTCACATGATTAAGGATACAAGAGAATAACTAAAGAGGCAGATGAAGAACATGTATCATAAGCCAGTGGCTGTCAAATATTTTTGTATTTCTACCCCTTATGAGAAATTTGAAAATATATATACCCCACCTGCATTTTAAAGTCAGCAAGAATATTTCATATTTTAATGTAATCAGTTGCAAAGGATGCACTTACCAGAATTTAAATGCTAATATTTAATAATAAACTGTTAAATCTAACAGAATCTAAATGCACCCACCATTACCTACATTACCTATTTATATACGAACAAACTCTTCAATGGTTATAAATTTTCATTCCCTTTACTCTTTGAATAATTCCATTTCCAAACTTATTTCTTATTTTAAACCTGATAATCTTTCACTGATCATGAAATTATTTCACTTTCTGTGACCATAAAGCTCTTAGTGATAAAACAACAAATTTCTTCTGGTTTATTATAATTATTAGTATATATGTGACCAAAATAAAGTATTACAATTTTTAGTACCTAAATTACATATATAGAAGTTGTGTGTGTGTGTATATATATATATATGTAGCTTAATGAAAAAAATTTTTTAAATAATTTTATGTTCTCAAGTGTGTATTACTAATTGCTAGAATGGGACAAGGTATAGCATCAATTCTATTCCTAGTCTTCCTTTTTCATAGATGTAGCACTGAGAAATGTTGTTCACATTAATGAGTAGATAGAATGAATTTTATTCCACGCCATTCAAATTCTCTGAACTCCTTTTGAGTTATATGATAGAATGTAACAGTGAACCATCAAAAAAATTTAACAATCAGTCAACATCTACATAAAGTCCTCTAAATTTTGTTGAAAGCAAGTAATTGTACTTGTGGAAAGAACTGACTGTGCCTGAGTCATTCGTGTTCTCAATCCAGTATCTCATAGTGTCCCTTTATGATATCAAACATTTTGTACCATGGTAATATTGCATACAAGTGAGAAGTATGCTGTTCTGTAAAATGGGAGGTTGACTATAAAGGAGAATTACAGAAAAAATAATGTGTACTTCTATCACAGGTTACATTCTCAGATCAGCTGAAGGAAAGAGTGTATATGGAATTTAAAGATATCGAAATGGATTCCTTTAAAACCATCCATGTCTATGAATATCATGTAAAGCCTCCACACAGCATAGTTTGAGCACCAGGGACTTACGCTATACTATATTGTAAATACCACTTTTTTTCAGTATGGCTTTGAAATAAAGTGATATGACAGTTCAAATTGTACATATTCTAGGGTCCAAGCCTAGTAGACTCATTTTATCTTTAAAATTCACACAAATTTTGCACGTTACCTTAAACATTAGTCATGTTTAAGGTAAAAATGTTGCTCTACCTACCCAAAATGTTCAAATAAAACTGACAATTCCAAGTATTATTCAAGCGTCATTTTAATTCTGTGGTTTTTGCATACACCGCACACTCCCCAAAAGATACTCCAATTTGAGAAGCAGAGACTATATCTCTAAGGTCAGTTTCCTCATCTGTAAATGAGAATAATAATAGCTATTGGATAAAATTCTTATAAAAATCAAACGAGATAATGCATGTTATGCTGCTGCTGCTGCTACAAATGCAGCTTTCATTCAGTTGATCATTGAACAAAACTGAGTGCCTACTATGTGGCAGGCACTAACTGGACCATCCATATATAGTCATAAAAAAAAAGAAAAAAACCAGCGCTTAGTAAAACAAGTTTAGAGTTTATAGTCATGTTGGTACAAATTCTAAATAAATAGCAGTTATTTATTTAACCTAAACAGGTTATTGAACATGCTATTAAAATTTAGAAATTTAACCTGTTAAGTTTTCCCAGAAATAAAGCTATCCCCTGGTTCAAACAAAGGTGTGCCTGAGTGATACCTTTAGGTCAAATCAAGGCTATTCTCAAAAAGTAATTGGAGATTTGCTCCAGAATATATACGGTAGTCCATAGTGAATGTCTTTCCACAAAATCAAATGCCAACAATGGAAAGTGCCTTACAATTCTTCGTAAGTTTTTAATTAATATAATTCACATACCACAAAACTCATCATTTTAAAATATATAATTCAGTGGTTTCTAGTATATTCACTAATTTGTGCAACTTCATAGGTTTTTACAAAAAGTAAAGAAAAAATTATCTGGTACCCATGATGTCTATGCAGAAAATCCACTTAGTCTAATATTCTATATGGGTAACAAGATTTTTTAAAGGAGATTAATGGCATATTAAAATATTAATAGGATGGATGGAGTATACTTTGAGCTCATTAAAAAGGACTACACCTGTTCACAGAAGAATGATTACAATTCATCAATGAAAACACGTTTTGAAGAGTTCTGCTTGAAAAATAACTTACTGGAGCTTTAGTTAATGTAACGGACATCACCAAAGATGCCAGAGTTTCAGCCAGATATCCTAGAACAGTCCTACTCAAACTCAGACAGTTATTCTATGGCGTTAATCATCTCCTTTACTTCTCAGTTGGCATTAGCTATGTACACATCCTTGGGAGAACTATGGAAATAGTGACACAAATGGTTTTCTGTAGGGCTTAATTCTATTGCTGACCTGGAGTCTGCAAGTTAGGTTAACTCTTCAGGACCTATAAAAGTTCTGTTAACACCTGGGCATACCAAACAAATCTTGTTAAAGCCATATCATGGACAACTCTGTCTCCGAATCTCCCTTCATGATTATCACTATAGCCAAGTCCAGACCCTCTCAGAAAGTTCTATCACGCTTAGACACATTTGAAGCACTAGTTTATAATATAATACAGCTAGTATCATACTGAACAAATCATTCTCATCAGCAAGCCTATTTGCTAACATGGCTAACATTCTTCTGTCACTCTGCTTCCTAGCAATCGCTATCCAATCAATAGCTACATGACTCAAATTAGCCAAAAAGATGGAACAGTACTATTATTAATAGCTAATAACCTGATTATCTTCATTAGCTAAAGAATATCAGCTAAATATCCTTTATGTATTCACTTATTAAAAATATTTCTGTATACGAGAAAATTAGAAGCTCTTTGAACAAGAGAACATGAACTCGTTCTACTGTCTTTTGCTACATCTTTCCCTTTCTTCCTTTATTCATTCATTAAACCAGCACTGTCCAAGTCATCATCATCCCCACCTGGACAAATACAACAGCTTCCTAACTGGCCTCCGACTTCCACTTCTGTGTCTCTACATTTTCCACACACAGTCAAAGCAGTCGTATTTCCCCCTATGTAAAACCCTCAGACAGCATTCTATACTATTCCTTATGCTGGCTGGCACAGCCCTATTACCAGGCTTGCCTACTTAAACCTCACCTAGTACTACTCCTCCACTCCCTAAGCTCCAGCCAACCTGGCCTTTTTGTCTTCACATGATGAGTGCATCCTTCCTTAGGGAATTTACACTGGCTACTGCCTCTACAAGGAAAGCTTCTCCTTCTGGTTTTGTATAGCACCTCAAATGTTGAATATTTAAAATTGATTTTATTTACTCACATAAATTATTTCCCTAAAGTGACCTCAGTAAATGGCACCTCTATCTACCCACTTAATCTAAAAACCAAGAACTCACCCTTTAGTACTCTTTTTGTGTTATGCTCTACACACGACTCATCAGCAAAACCAGTCAATCCTATTTTCAAGAGATTTAGAATCTGTCCACTTCTATCTCCACGGGCACGCGTCTAGATCATCATTATCATCATCAAAATCATCATCATCATACTACAACAGCTACTTGCTCCTCACTTCTACTTTTGATTTCAGTATCAAATTAATAGAAACCTGTACTCAACAGTGGCCCACACTTATCCCTTGGAGGGACTTTAGGGCCTAGAAATGCTAGACTTATCACCTACGACCTATTCGTTCCCCTTCCCTGTCCCCAACTTTATCTACAGAGACCAGACAACACTCAGTTGAGCAAGACTTTAATAACTGACAAAAAGGGTATCAGTATCTTTGGCAACAATTTTACTTTCTCCATAGGTCAGGAATGTTGGTGGAATAAATGAAGTCTTTGTTTTCAGTTTGGATGGAGGAATCCTACGAAGGTAGAAGCCAAGAGGCAGTTCTTACCACACTATGCCCTACCAGGAGCTGGTCATCAGAATGGTCCTACCACAGGGCTCTGATGGTGGTGAACTGACCATGAAGTACCTCAGGCAGAAATAAGTCAACCCAGTAAGGCATTACTTCATTAACTGAAAAATCCATAGTCAAACAAATGCCTAATCTGAGCTGCAGCAAGTGACCTGGCTCTTCACCTACTCCCTCACATCTTCTGCCAAGCTCCTTCTCCTGCTTTTAAAAAAGTGGTTATTTTTCAGTTATAGATTCCATTGAGAATTTGAGGAAAATAAGCTCTTGGAGAAATGTACACAAGGCTGGATGCTGTGGCTCACGCCTGTAATCCTAGCACTTTGGAAGCCAAGGCAGGTGGATCGCTTGAACCCAGGAGTTTGAGACCAGCCTAGGTAACATGGCAAAACCCTGTCACTACAAAAAATACAAAACGTTAGCCAGGAGTGGTGGCCTGCACCTGTAGTCCCAGCTACTCAGGAGGCTGAGATGGGAGGATCACCTGAGCCCAGGTCAAGGCTGCGTGAACTGTGATTGCACCACTGCACTTCCCCCTGGGTGAGAAAGTGAGACCGTCTCAACAATAAAATGTACACACACAAAAATTGCACACAATTCAAAGGTTCCTGGAGGTCTTTCTGAGGCATGGTCGCCCAGATTAGAAACCTCCCTGCCTACTGGTTCCTTCCAAGCTGACCTCTTTAAATCTTTAAAGGAAAAATAACCATAATGTTCTTTGATCATGCATTCTCTTCTGAATATTGTCTTCTCTCTTCTTCTCATTCAAGCTTCTTAAGAGTAGGCCAACCATTTGTGAGGAAAGGGGTAAAAAATGCATGTATGTGTACATGTTTGTAAATGCATATAAGCTCTAGACAAACATACAAAAAGCCTCATTAACAAGTTTCCTCTAAAGAGGATTGGGACTAAGAGACAGGAGAGAGGGAGACATTTTTCACTGAATATCCTTTTCATTATGGGCCCAAATTACTTAACCAAATAATAATAAAATTTTAAAACATTTGAAAGAACAGGCACATTGTGTTTCTAGTCTCTCATTTCCCAGAAACTTTCTGGAATTCTAAATAGGACTTATCCTTTCTATCCATTGAAACTGGTAAAGTCACCAGTTGCTTCATAATTTAGAAATCCAATGGCTAGACAAAGTCTTTATCCTCCCTGATCTCTAACAAAAATCTTGTTTTCCAGGTTGTTGTAACACCACATTCTCTTGATTCTCCTATTTATTTTCTGGAAGGTCCTCTTACTCTCCACAAGATTCATTTATTCATTTAATTCATGGACCTACAGAGTGACAAGATACACTTCATTTGTCCTTATTTTGGGCATTATCAATGACAAAAACACTATGAAAGGAGTTCTCAAAGTGTGACCTGAGAATTCCTGGGGGTCCCCAAGATCATTTTGGAAGTCCAAGAAACAAAACTATTTTAACTCGATCTTCCTCACTCCACCCCCAAAACTTGCCCTTATTCCCCTATTCCCTGACTCCTCTGCCCCAAGTGACCAAAGCCAGGGTTATTGCAGCATCCATTCTCTTTGTGTAACCATCAGGTACTTACATCTAATTTCTCGAGTCTCACCTTTCCATACTTCCTGCACAGAATTCATTCAGGCCATCTTTATTTTTCTAGACTACAAGAGCCCAACTATTCTCCCTACTTCTAGTTTCATCCCTTCCCAAATCCAGTCTCCATACTGTGCCCCACTCTATATACCCAAATCTGATTCTTATCATCACTACTAAGTTTCTCAAACTACACAGAAATTGCCACCAAGATAGGTAAGCTCTCCACAAAATTTTTTATTATTGTTGATAATTAAAACAAGTACTTTCTAGATCATGTGACTGAGAACCTAGTATACAGCCATATACCAATCCAAGTGTGTATTTATACTCACAAAAACATACTACCACCTTAAACCAAGATCATTCATGAGAAATAAATAATGGCAGACTTAACACACAACTGATTCCATTCAAGAAAATATGATGTTCTTTATTTTCAAATGTATCCAATTTGGGTGAATAGAGAAATGTGACGAAAGAATTGAGCCTTTCCAAGATACCAGTAGTATTGTCAAGCAAAACTAAAAAATAATTTGTTCCATACCATATTCATATTGTAAGCAATTTGTAGAATATGTCATATGTCACATTAAATTAATGTTAGGGAACTTGAATTTTATTAGTTTTGTAGATTTAATTTATAAAACATTTGATGTTAAGACTAGAAACACAAATTCAGTATGTTTATACATCTAAAACACTAAAATAAACTTCTAGTGACAAACCAAGCTGCATGAAGTCCCCTAAAACATATCTTGCACTTAGAATCACTGTACTCTTCTTTATCCAATCCTAGAGTGTCTCCAATTCAATTTTAGTATCATCTTGCCTCTCCTCCCAGTTCCCTGCTAAAAATGTTGACAGTCACATCTGTGAAACCCTGCAACACCACCTCTTTGAAAAATCAAACATAAATCCCTAAACAATATTTAGCTTTTGAAGCAAAGGTTTGGTTTTTATTTGCATATTGAGGCGCAAAGCTTATTTGCATATTGAGAGGCAAAGCTCCGTGCTGTTCAATAGGATAGTGACTAGGTACATCTGGCTATTTAATTTTAAAGTAAAACTAAAAATTGAGGCCGAGCGCGGTGGCTCACGTCTGTAATCCCAGCACTTTGGGAGGCCGAGGCGGGCGGATCACGAGGTCAGGAGATCGAGACCATCCTGGCTAATGCTGTGAAACCCCATCTCTACTAAGAAATACAAAAAATTAGCTGGGCGTGGTGGCGGGGGCCTGTAGTCCCAGCTACTTGGGAGGCTGAGGCAGGAGAATGGCATGAACCCGGGAGGCAGAGCTTGCAGTGAGCCAAGATCACGCCACTGCACTCCAGCCTGGGCGACAGAGCGAGACCCCGTCTCAAAAAAAAAAAAAAAAATTGAGTTATTCAGTCAGACTAGCCACATGTCAAGCACTCAACAGCCACCTGTGGCTGAAAAGAGTCCCGTCATCACAGAATGTTCCCCTGGATATGCTGCTCTGTAACTTTTTCCCTTTAAGGTCTGAGAAACCTGCTCATGACTTCAAATATAAACTGTGCTGATGACTTCCAAATCTTTCTCTAGTCTTTTTCCATTAACCTAATGGAATATCTTCAGTAACCTTCTTGATATTTCAACGTCAGTTGAAGAGATGGAGGTGGTGGTTGGAAATAATTATGGCAGTCAAGAAAATCAATAAGGTATAATGTAATCAAGAATGGAATCGATTTTCAGGGTAAGGTTAAGATTGAGTTTGAGATATCTGAAATAGGTACTGCAAAAATAGTAGTAGAGATTAAAAATGATGCCCACTTCACCCTACCCACCCATCCTAAAATAATTAAAAACCACTGTGCAGAGTTCTTAAAAAGATATCTTTCTGGCCGGGCACGGTGGCTCACACCTGTAATCCCAGCACTTTGGGAGGCCGAGGAGGGCAGATCACGAGGTCAGGAGATCGAGACCATCCTGGCTAACACGGTGAAACTCCGTCTCTACTAAAAATACAAAGAAATTAGCCGGGCGTGGTGGCGGGTGCCTGTAGTCCCAGCTACTCGGGAGGCTGAGGCAGGAGAATGGCGTGAACCTGGGAGGCAAAGCTTGCAGTAAGCTGAGATGGCACCACTGCACTCCAGCCTGGGCGACAGAGCGAGACTCCATCTCAAAAAAAAAAAAAAAAGACATCTTTCCAATCACACCTAAAGATATTATTCATCACCAGTAATTCACCTCTGATATGGAAAACATGTTAAAATCATAGCTTGTAATTACTTAATGTAAATTATAATGTAGCCTGTTTCAAAGTTTATTTTGTCAATTAAAGCTCTAATTCTTTCAAGATAAGAGTTTAAAAACAAAACATGTTGGGCGTGGTGTCTCACGCCTGTAATCCCAGCACTTTGGGAGGCTGAGGTGGGTGGATCACCTGAGGTCAGGAGTTCGAGACCAGCCTGGCCAACATGACGAAACCCCAACTCTACTAAAAATACAAAAATTAGCTAGGCGTGGTGGTGGGTGCCTGTAATCCCAGCTACTCAGGAGGCTGAGGAAGAGACAATCGCTTGAACTTGGGAGGCCAACATCACCCCACTGCACTCCAGCCTGGGCGACAGAGCAAGACTCTGTCTCAAAACAAAACAAAACAAACACAATAATGTACTGAAGCCAGATTCACAACCACAAAGCAAAACATTACCTCAGATTTCTATTAATTACTTTAAAGCTCTTAGCTTTCTTTACACTGTACCATCATAAAAAAGACATAATATAGTTATTACTTAACTAGCCACAAATATATTTTCTGCTTTATAGAACTATCTAATATGTTGCTGGTGTTACTTTCCAAGAGAACTTATTTTTTAAAATGCAAAACTCCACTTTCTGACCATTTAAATAAAATCAGATGCAAAAAAAGACCATGCCTCCAAAAATTAAGGCAGAAAGCTTCAGAAAACAATGAAAATGAAAGGTATTTCCAAAATAATGTACGGTATAATTTATTTATTTAATAAACATTTATTACCACTATACACTTCTAGAATGAGGTGGATGGTAAATCAAATAAACATAAAGCAATATTAAGTACCTACCGTGTGCAAAAGCAAAAAAAGACATGGTCCCTGCCCTCATGGAGCTCACAGTCTAGCTGAAGCAGACAAACAAGTCACAAATACAATGGCAAAGCACCAGGGAAGCATTATGGAGGAAAGGATTGGTTCTGCCTGGAGTATGCAGGGCAGGCTTCCCAGAGATGGAGACAATGAAGCTGGGTCTTGGATGAGTAGGAGTTCACCAGATGAAGGGGAAGGGGGTAAGCACATTCCAAGCAGAGCAAACAGCGTATGAGCAAGCAGAGTCTTGAAAGCGCATGCCATGGTGCAGGACGATGAGTGTTCCAGCGCAGCTAGAGCAGAAAAGTGCACACAAACTGAAGAGATGAATTAGTGTTTGGTTTTTGATGAAACATAAGTGTCAGAAAATAAATCTGCACATTACACTTAACATAACTAAACTGTGGTTCTGGTAACAGTACAGTAATCTAAAAGTACTCTTCATTTCATAAATACTGAAGCCCCTTTTATAGGTACCCAGCACTGTGTTTTAAGATGGCAATTTTAGAAAAATACACCTGAATTTTCCTCTGTGCATTTAAGAAGCAAAGTAACCCCAGAATAAAGGTTTCCTGAAGCTGAAATCACAGTGATTTACACACACACAAGGTCCTAACTTTTGCTAACTTGGGCTCCCTCTACTGCTATTCTTACCTTTCTTAACATCTTCATAATGACCAACTCAAATCCACCCCATAGTTAAGCAATACAGAGGCAATTTAGCCTTCTCTTTCATTCTGCCTCTCTAAACAAAGGACCTGCCAATGTCCCTATGAAAACCAATGCGAGGTATGATATGAAGAAACAATGCATTTTGACCTCTGTATCAATTATCAGGAATTATATTACTGTAAACTGCACAAATTGAGTGAAGCCAGGTATGAAGCAGAGACCCCATGCCCCTCAGAAAATGTAACATGACAAGAGGCAAGAGAGCTCGGGTCAGAAAGTTTCCAATGCAGGCCACCAGGCAACACTGTTCACCAAGGTGGCTTGGTGCTCAGGAAGGGGGTGGCTTAGGGAACGAGCAGTGTGGAAAGCAAAGGAATTAACATAGGTCAAATTTACTTTGCTAGATGTTCTATATAAATTCCCATTTACTCCTTACAACAATGCTAAGGGAAAATTTTCTTACTTTAATTTTACCAATGAGAAACTGAAGGCCCTTGGAGCCTAAGAAAGTTTCTCATGACTGCATCAGCTAATAAGTAGCAGAGCCAGTTCACCAAGCCATGCCTTCCTGGGTCCAAAGCCCTTCTTATTCCACTACACTGCCACTGGGTTCCTAAAATGAACACACACTCCCAAGGGACTTATGGGGTTACATCAGTCACATCTTAAGAAAGAGAGCCCCTACTTCTCCCTCCACTATGTTCACTGTCAGTGTGAAGACAATGGTGGTGGCAATACCCATACACACAGATCCTTGAAGTTTAGAGGAAGAAAAACTAAGAAAAAATAGTCACATATGTTTAGTTGTCCCCAGGGAAAAAGCAGCTTTCTTTGTAAAGATATTGGGTCCTTTAACATAATTAAATTAGTACAGGCTTAAGTATCTCTCATCTGAAATGCCTGGGACCAGAAGAGTTTCAGATTTCAGATATTTTTCAGATTTGGAATGTTCAAACTGTATCATAATTCAAATGAGATTTGCTTAAATTGCTATACAATAAACTATCAACCAAACAGCTCGATAAAACTAAGCGCTAACGGAAAAATATCCAAACATAGAATTAGGATATTATTCAAAAAGTCATTATCCTCAACATCATCAAAGGTCAAAAAAACACTGCCCTTTCTCAAAATCTGAACCTGAAAATCAATACGTAATTATAAACTATGGGGTGAAGATACCTGACACATTAAAATTTTGCCACTTTTTGGTCAACAGGAACTATTTTGAGGGGAAAAAGAAAAAAGGAGACAATTAACACCAAAGAAACCTTTTGTAAACAGCCCCAGTGGGTCAGAAAGTATGATGTTCACTGACCTAGAGAGATACTGAAATGCTGTTTTCTACTGTGCACAATTTACTTATGCTCTCTCTTGCTGGGACAGGGTGGGCAGGGTATGGGGACATGCACGGGACATTTGGACAACCAAAATTCCAGTCACTTAATTATGATGTGAGATACTTTTTGAAGAGCTTTCGAAGTAGCATATACATGCGATAAGTAAATTAACCAACCTTATTTTGATTGAGAGGATCGTTTCGCAGTCTCTGTTTGTTCTTCTGTAATTTACTAGGCATCATCTTTCCAGTTCTGAAGTCAAAACTGCTGAGATCAACAGTATTTCCCAGGTACCTTGCCAACTGAGGCTTGCTTCTGAACTTCTTACCACTTGGACTAGAAGAAAGTAAGGTTAATTGAACAAAAGGCAACAATATTCTCCACATAAGCCTTTTCTTCATGTCTTCCCCTACCCTCAATTGATACCCCATTCTAATTTTACATATTTTTAAAGAAATGTTAAAGTTTTGCTAGGCGCGATGGCTCACGCCTATAATCCCAGCACTCTGGGAGGCAGAGGCAGGTGGATCACCTGAGGTTAGGAGATCAAGACCAGTCCGGCCAACATGGTGAAACCCCGTCTCTGCTAAAAAAAATAAAAAAATAAAAAATACAAAAAATTAGCCGGGCATGGTGGTGGGCGCCTGTAATCCCAGCTATTCAGGAAGCTGAGGCAGGAGAATCGCTTGAACTCAGGAGGTGGAGGTTGCAGTGAGCCAAGATCGCGTCACTGTACTCCAGCCTGGGCAACAAGAGCAAAACTCTATCTCAAAAAAAAAAAAAAAAAAAAAGTTAAAGTTTTACAGGGAACTCCGTAACTTCCCTGTAAGAAAAAATCAAGTGTCACCTAATATAATGCTCCCCTAGGTAGTCCACTGGAATACATAACATGTTGCCACAGCCTATCCCACTGGTCACTCAGCAACTACTGCGAGAACCTAAATCCAAACTTCATGCACAGTGTAACAGGCATACTAAAAATGTCTTCAATCTCACAAACTTCCTTTCCAAATTGATTTTGAAATGCTTTTTTTTTCCCTGCAAGTACTACATATACAACTACGCCAGCAATAATCAGAAAAAACTTGAGAACAAATTCTTCTCAAGTCAGCAACCCTTGTTTAAAACACACACATACACACACACACACACACACACACACAAATATGTGGAATCTATGTGATATCTGAGCTACCAATTTGGGCTCATAACACTCACAATAAAAAAATTCTTACATCTTGACAATATTTAAATGCTCTCTAATACTACTGAAATGAGAAAACTAGAGCAAATATTTGTGAACATGCTTGTACAATGCTGACCTGAGTTTTGTTAGCCAAACTCCTCCCTTAGGGAAGCATATGAAGAATAATTTACTTCTTGTAAGTAATACTGCCAAAGCTGGAAAGTTACAAAAGTGCCAGAATTATACGGAGGACTAGTCTTTCCTAAAAAATTTTTTTCCTGTGTGGCATTAATCTGTAAGAAAGTTTTTATAGGAATAATGCCCCAAAGTGTTACCTAATAAATTTTCTGAACTAAATAAATGTGCTAGAACAAAGTCAGTGTGATATGTCACAAGAAAATTGTGAGAATTGTAGAATACTTCTCAAAGAAGCCAATGTGTCACATTTAGAACTTAACCTTGCACCAAGTGACCACAATAAAAGAAAAATAACTCATAGGAAGATAAAAGGAAAAAGGCTGAAAAACCAAGCAATAAATATTCTCTTGGAACAAGAAAACTTCTATCTGGGTCAAATACACAGCAATACACCCCGGACTTGTCACAAACTCTTTGGTATTCTGTCCCACCACACTTCAAGATAACTGAAGATGCTATCAACATTCTTTTTCCACAACCACATGACTTAAGTATTCGTGAAACACAATTCAAGGTATAGAGTTCAGCAGGCAGATGAAAATAACAACCAGTAACAACAAGAACAATACAAGAAAAAACCAGAGGAAAGAGTACAGGATTCTACACAAGCAAAGCTCAACTCCAACTCTAACCTAGACTTCCAGAATACTCGGTATCACAAAATAAAATAGCAAGTCACTCGCAATATTGTCCGAAACTTGAACCATCTCTGCCCACCAGAGTTCCACCCCAAAACCTGATCTTCTATATTCCGCACCTGTGTCAGTGGCGCTGCTGTCCACTTAGTGCTTTATTCTCCAAGCTAGAAGGCCACATCACAATCTTTCAGCGCCCCCATGTCTCAGCCACACATCCAGTACCAAGTTCTAAATGTTCAAGCTCCTCAATGTTGACAAAAAAGCTTCACCTCCTTAATAAGTCATCGAAAGCTTTATATCTGTTATATAATTTTTCCCAGACTCTTTTCCCACCAGCTTTGGTAGCCTACATTCCAAACTCTAAATCACCAAAATATGCCATATACCTTTGAATCTTCCAGTCATGTCTTTCCAGATGGAAGGAGGAGCACAGCAACATCCTGCCTATCAAAAAGCTATTAAATCCTCCAAGCCCAGCTAAAATATCCTCCACCTCAACTAGGAAGTCTTCTGGGATTCTTCAATTCAAGTCAGAAATAATCTACTACCACTCGAAATTCTATTTTCATTACAATATTTCCTATATATTTCCTTGCTGAGTCAAACAACAATGCCACTCTTAAACTTCAAACACCATTATAGGCTAGCACTGAACAAGGTAACTTTCTGAGAGCAAAAAACGTTATCAGTTCAATACTAAAGGATGTAGTTTTCATTTGCAGACACAATGGGATAAATATTATTGTTTATTTAAAAGTTATATGGCAAAGAATTTTTAAAACTAAGCTAGAAAATATTTTCATGATTAATGTGTTTTACCACATAAGAAATAAAGTATTACTAATGACCTAAATTAATATGAAAAATTAGTAACATTACTCTGCCATTATGTCACTTATAAAATGCTGCAATAGCCAGGCGCAGTGGTTCATGCCTGTAATCCCAGCACTTTGGGAGGCCGAGGCGGGCAGATCACGAGGTCAGAAGATCGAGACCATCCTGGCTAACACGGTGAAACCCCGTCTCTACTAAAAATACAAAAAAATTAGCCGGGCGTGGTGGCGGGCGCCTGTAGTCCCAGCTACTCAGGAGGCTGAGGCAGGAGAATAACATGAACCCAGGAGGCGGAGCTTGCAGTGAGCTGAGATCGCACCACTGCACTCCAGCCTGGGCGACAGATCGAGAGTCTGTCTCAAAAAACAACAACAAAAAACAACAACAACAACAAAAAGCTGCAATAGCCATATGGTCCTTATTATCAGATATCAGATACTCAAGTTATTGGTAAACGACATTCTGATAAACTAGTTAACATACCACAAAAAAATGAAAACACAAAATCCACAAAATAAAAATGACAATTCTGTGGCCAGGCACGGTGGCTCATGCCTGTAATCCCAGCACTTTGGGAGGCCAAGGCAGGCAGATCACCTGAGTTCGGGAGTTTGCGACCAGCCTGACCAACATGGAGAAAACCCATCTCTACTAAAAATACAAAATTAGCCAGGCGTTGTGACGCATGCCTCTAACCCCAGCTACTCGGGAGGCTGAGGCAGGAGAATCGCTTGAACCCAGGAGACAGACGTTGCGGCAAGCCGAGATGGCGCCACTACACTCCAGCCTGGGCAACGAGCAAAACTCTGTCTCAATAAAATAAAATAAAATGACAATTCTCAATCAGCTGTCTCTCACATAGATCTCTTTTGTGCAATAAAAAACAGCTCTAGAGTAGACACCTTATTTCAACAAATTCATTTTCCAGAAGATGAAATACTCAGGCAGTAACTCTTACCAAAAAGATAAGCATACTGTTCTTAGCTTATGGCTTAGAGACAAATAGGAAGCTATTTATGAGGGAATCAATTGACAAACTTCACAAATTAAACCTGCAATAAGTAGTTCCTTATCTTAAAGTTGAAATGTCAGTTATCCACTGCAGCTGAAAACATAATAGAGCCTCACCACAATGTTCCTCTACAGAACAAAACTCATTAGAGACCAGTTCATTTTAGATCTCTCCCCCAAATCAAGATAATTTGAACTCAATTAAAAGGCTATACTCACGAAATGTGATCACTTATGTTTATCATCTAGATTAGCAGTTCATCAGCAGTTTAACACGGCTTCATATTATTTCTATTGTTTATTAATTTTAAAAATGAAATGGGGGGCCAGGCACGGTGGCTCACACCTGTAATCCCAGCACTTTGGGAGGCCAAGGAGGGCGGATTGCCCGAGCTCAGGAGTTTGAGACCAGCCTGGGCAACACGGTGAAACCCCATCTCTAATAAAATACAAAAAAATTAGCCCAGCGTGGCGGCGTGCGCCCGTAATCCCTGCTACTTGGGGAGGCTGAGGCAGTAGAATTGCTTGAACCTGGGAGGCGGAGGTTGCAGTGAGCTGAGATTGTGCCACTGCACTCCAGCCTGGGCAACAGAGTGAGACTCCATCTCCAAAAAAAAAAAAAAAAAAAAAAAGGAAGGTATTTATTATAAACAAAAAGGCTAGACATCCTTTACTAATAAACTAAGTTGGCAATGAAGGAAAAAAGGTAGAAGTTTTAACTATTAGCATATCCAAAAGAAAGCTGGAATATTCACTAGTAACCAGTAAATTCTTATTCATAATGAATAACCATTTCCTGTTTTACAGATGGAATTCTATGAAACATCTGTATTGGATAGCTACAAGTATCTATCATATATACTGCTGCCTTCAGAAAACAGTAGTACAAGCCATTTTCTTCTCCGTAACTGCTACAGTCTGTCTGTGGTGCTTTAAGGAAAGTCAACCTGGCTGCCCCAGGGGATTTTAGGCCAGAGACTTTACTCTTCAGGAGGTGAAAGCAAACATGGAGGAGGGCAAGGCCCAAGGGAATGATTAAGTAGGAATTCTGCCCATGAGATGAGATACAGACCATCTGTACAGTAGCAAACTGACCCTGGGAGAGGCAAACTGAGGAAATAAATGCTAGATGAACAAAAAGACTGTCACCTAAGTTCTAGTCTTACCCAAAGTGATTAAGTTTAATCACCTGTCTACCCTCAATAATGGCTGCTGTAGGTCCTGGTCTCAGAAACACCAAGACTTAAAGTGACTAAGCTTTTATTTTAAAAGCATCAATTTGTAACTTAGGGAAGTTCAAAAACTCTAGAAGACTGAGTGAAGGATATTAGTCATTTTCAGTTCTCTCTGCCCATTATGATTACTTCTAATCCCAGTAATGAAATACTATTTCACTTTCAACCACAAAAAAAAATTCCCTACCAACTGCCCCCTAGATATGCCATTCCTGAACCAACTGTGATCACACCTTTAACTTCTTCTACCCACTATTTAAATAAACTCTGAAAAAAGCCCTGAAGAAACATACTAATTAAATGAAAATCAAAACATGAATTGTATTTTTCCAGTTCACATAGGAACATTTCATCACTTAAAAATAAAAATAAAATAACAAAAAAAAAGTAATTGAAACCAGAAATACTCAGATTACGCTCACTTTAATTTAGTGGTACTCATATTTTGTCGCACTGTGAACTTACCTGTAATTACCATTACCTGAGCTAGACAACTATAATATGCCCTGCCAGTCTATGACATAAAATTACATCTCCAGAAGACCTGCTGCCTGCATGTGAAACTGTACTCTGAAATCACCGCTCTAATATAGCAGAAGATACCTTTTCTTGTTTCTTTGATAACATGGATAATCATAATGTTCAGTCAAACCATTATGAGGCCAGGGCTCTAAATAAACACAAGTCTATTTTCAAATCAATTTCTAACATGATGGGGGTAGCAGTCACCAGACTGGAGTAAGATGAAATGGCCTGTGAGTGACAAGGGGTGTCACAGATGGCAGATGGCTAGCTAGATAGCTAAACAGCATGTTCAGAGGCACATCACTTCCCATCAGTATCAGGAAATACTTTATGGGGAATAATAAAAATCTCCACACTAAAAATTCTGTAAGCTATAGCACTGGAAATGTTTGAGACTAAAAGAAACATCAACTTTCTATTTTTTTTTTTTTTTTTTTTTTTGAGACAGAGTCTCGCTCTGTCGCCCAGGCTGGAGTGCAGTGGCGGGATCTCGGCTCACTGCAAGCTCCGCCTCCCGGGTTCACGCCATTCTCCTGCCTCAGCCTCCCAAGTAGCTGGGACTACAGGCGCCCGCCACTACGCCCGGCTAATTTTTTGTATTTTTAGTAGAGACGGGGTTTCACCGTTTTAGCCGGGATGGTCTCGATCTCCTGACCTCGTGATCCGCCCGCCTCGGCCTCCCAAAGTGCTGGGATTACAGACGTGAGCCACCGCGCCCGGCCAACTTTCTATTTTTTAAAATCTCTTTAAATGTTAACACTTACTTCTCACTTACAACAGTAAGTATTCAACGAAACATTTCCCTAACTTTAAATAACAATTTTCTTCAGAAATCAAACTTCATCTGAGACTAAAAACATGAAATTAGAATTATTGTTTTGTACTTAGATACAAAACAATCAGAAACCCGCCAAATTAAAAGAATGTATATTATTGCTATACACACACACACACACACACACACACGCACACACGCAAGCACGCACGAGAAAAATCTACCTAAGTCAGCTCCCTGTACCTCCTTAACTCCTTTCCCCTTAATCTTTAAATGTAGGCCTTTCCTACAATGCACCATCCTCAGCACTCCTCTACAGCTTGTCCCTGATAGATTTTATCTGCTCTTATTTTATTCATATCTCCCATGTCTGATCACTTCCTAAGTGATCACCTTTAAACACAGCCTTCCTTTCCATTGCCACTGCCCAAATCAAGTCTGCATCACCTCAGGTCTAAATCACTATGATAAGCTAACTTTGCTCGTCTCTTTGCATTCTACACTATCCACATAGCCCTTCCTAAAACACCACTTTGACAACAGCTCTGGCTTAACAGCTTTCAGTGGACTTTTACCCCATAAGCAAAAAAGCCAAACATCTTAGGCTTGCATTTTAGATCCTTTTTCCTATGGCCTCCTTTTTTTTTTTTGAGACAGAGTCTCGCACTGTAGCCCAGGCTGGAGTGCAATGGCACAATCTCAGCTCACTGCAACCTCCGTCTCCTGCCTTCAAGCGATTCTCCTGCCTCAGCCTCCCAAGTAGCTGGGATTACAGGCGCCTGCCACCAAACCCAGCTAATTTTTTTCTATTTTTAGTAGAGACGGGGTTTCACTATGTTGGTCCTATGGCCTCCTCTTAACCTTTCAACCCTACTTTCCACTCTTACCTAGTGACCTTTGCTCCAGCCATATTGGTTTAATCACTCTATTCTGAATAGTCTAAATGGCTTCTACAGTTCTTTGCAAGCACCATGTCTTCTACTTGGTCCATAATGCATGATGCTACCCCTAGTCTCCAAGAGCCCAGAAATACCAATCCACCTTATATACTACCTCTTCCACAAAGCCTTCACAGAACCCAGTAATAGGAATTTTCTTTCCTCTGAACCCATATAGTAATTATTGCCTATGTTAGGCAAATAATCATGAACTGCCTGTTGGCCTCATTCTAGCTTTGAAACACTGAGTTCTGCACTGGTAGAAATTTTCACAAGTTACATCTTCTCAAATAGCATATTGAATACTTATTTATGAATGAACTTACTTGACGTCAGATTTCCTTCAAATAATGAAGGTTGGGTCAGGAGTAGTAAATTGGGATGGGGATGAAATAAGATTGACTATGTGTTGACAAATTGTTTAAGCTGGGTAGTTCCCACTACTTTTGTATGTATGAATGAAAATTTCTCTATTTTGTTTAAACATTAAGTATGCTAGCTGAAGATTTCCCCCCAAAATAGGAAAGCTTTAAAAAAAAAATATCAAGACTCTGGGCAAGTCAATTTGAGCATTAAAGAATTTGCTGGTTGGGCAAAGTGGCTCACACCTGTAATTCCAGTACTTTGGGAAGCCGAGGCGGACAGATCACTTAAGCCATGAGTTCAAGACAAGCCTGGGCAAAAAAGGCGAAACTCAGTCTCTACAAAAAAAACACAAAAATTAGCCGAGCATGGTGGCACGTGCCTGTAGTCCCAGCTACTCAGGAGGCTGAGGTGAGAGGATTGCTTGAGCCTGGGAGGTTGAAGCTGCAGTGAGCCATGACCACATCACTGCACTCCAGCCTGGGCAACAGAGCAAGACCCTGTCTCAAAAAAAAAAAAATTCCTTGGCAGTGGGGATGGGTGGGGAAGGATTATGGGGGCGGGGGGGGGGATTATTTTTAAAGTATAAGGAAAAAATTTATTAGAGTAAATTACTATAGCTAATAGTATTATCTCTATTTCACGGATCCCTAAGCCCTAGCCCTGGCCACTGACCGTGGCCCGTTAAGAACCGGGAGGTACAGCAGGAGACGAGCATTACAGCCTGAGCTCTGCCTCGTGTCAGATCAGTGGCAGCTTTAGATTCTCATAGGAGCATGAACCCTACTGTGAACTGTACATGCGAGGGATCTAGGTTGCATGCTCCTTATGAGAATCTAACTAATGCCTGATGATCAGAGGTGGATCAGTTTCATCTCAAAACCATTCGGGATCCATGGAAAAACCGTCTTCCATGAAACCGGTCCCTGGTGCCGAAAAAGTTGGGGACCACTGCTCTGTATCATTTGTTTAAAAAATTAAAAACCAGGGTATGCCACTAAAATGCGAAAAAATGAATTTATGTAGAATTCTACCTAGTCTCATCCTTAAGGCATTTGCTTTCTGAGAAAGGAAAAAAGAAAAATACTGGTTATTTTGGTTGAATTGGGGACTAGACACTGCTACGACACTGTCAGAAATTAAGTATGTTTGGGAATTATTTCAAAATATAACTAGGGGGAACGGGGTGAATACAGATAAAGCAAGACTGGCCAGGAGCTGGTAACTGTTGAAACTGGATGACTATATAGGGATTCATTATACTTTTCCATCTATTTTTGCCTATGTCTGAACTTTTCCATAATTACAAGTGTGTGTATGTAGGTATATGTGTGTGTGTATACACATATATATCCTTACACATATATCTTACATATATACATACACACACATATTAATATTTACTTAGACAAATATGCCCAAAAACCAGACTGGAAGCTACTATGTCAAAATTAGCAGTGGTTCTCTTTTCTTTCTTTCTTTTTTTTTTTTTTTTTTAACAACAAACATTGCCTGATAAAACAGTAGTTCTCTTTGGGACTATAATAATGACTGTCATTACTTCACTATACTCTTCTATATTTTCCCAACTTTCCCACTGAGCAGGGGTTACTTTTATAACCCATACATACTATACATATATATATATTTTGTTTGTTTCTTTCTTTCTTTGTTTTGTTTTTTTTTTTAGAGACAGGGTCTCACTCTGTTGCCCAGGTTGCAGTGGCGTGGAGCAATTGTGGCTCACTACAGCCTTGAACTCCTCGACTGAAGGAATCCTCCCACCTCAGCCTCCAGAGTAGCTGGGAGTACAGGCTCAGGCCAACATGCCCAGCTAATTTTTAAAAATTTTTTGTAGGGACAGGAGTCTCACTATGTTAGCCAGGCTGGTCTCAAACTCCTGTCTTCAAGTGATCCTCCTGCTTCAGCCTCCCAAAGTGCTGGGATTACAGGTATGTGCCAGCATACCTGACCTATGCATAATATTTTTTTAAAACTCTGAGGAACCTTTATAACCTAAGGTCTGCCCTAATCACATTTCAGAATACAACAAAATACAGTAAACCTTCACATAATTACCAAGCATGCGCTTCTATTTCTGTTGGCTAATTAAACGAAGAGAAAGGAGCTAACATTTTACTGATGCACTAACCACCTACACATGGCAAGCACATTTAATCTCAAAAAATTTCCACGAGGTAGAATTCTTTTAGAATTCTTTTTTTTTTTTTTTTAGACGGAGTCTCGCTCTGTCGCCGAGGCTGGAGTGCAGTGGTGCGATCTTGGCTCACTGCAAGCTCCACGTCCCGGGTTCACGCCATTCTCCTGCCTCAGCCTCCCTAGTAGCTGGGACGACAGGCGCCCGCCAACAGGCCCAGCTAATTTTTTGTATTTCTTAGTAGAGATGGGGTTTCACAGCATTAGCCAGGATGGTCTCGATCTCCTGACCTCGTGATCCACCCGCCTCAGCCTACCAAACTGCTGGGATTACAGGGGTGAGCCACCGCGCCCGGCCTCCACAAGGTAGAATTCTTACACTAGATTTATAGTTGAGGAAACAAAAGCTTACAAAAACTTATCCATCCAAGATTAACACAGTAAAGCAAGATACAAGCCCCGATCTTCTGACTCAAAAGTCTCCATTGTTTATTCTAAACCAGGACAACCAAAGTGTGGTCTGTGTGCAAACTTACTGGTCCTCAAGTAAGTCCACAAGTGTAGAGAAAGCATTTGGAAACTGTCATGGTAACTTGACAGGGTAAGTTTATGTGACTCAGGAATCTGGTACTAAGAAGTTGCAACATGTTTTTTGTATGTTCACTTTTACTTCATTTTTCTCTTCTTTTTTAATACAGACCACTCGAACAAACGCTTCACATTTACAGCAAAACAAAAAATAAATTAGTTAAAACTAGATAGAAACATAGCCTCCCAAGATGATACAAAAGCAATTTCTGAGGATAGATTTTTTTTTTTTTTTTTTTGAGATGGATCTCCCTCTGCTGCCAGGCTGGAGTGCAGTGGCGCGATCTCAGCTAGCTGCAATCTGCAGTCTCCAACTCCCTGGTTCAAGCAATTCTCCTGCCTCAGCCTCCCGAGTAGCTGGGATTACAGACACACATCACCACGCCCATCTAATTTTTGTATTTTTAGTAAAGAAGGGGTTTCACCATGTTGGTCAGGCTGGTCTCGACCTCCTGACCTCGTGATCCGCCTGCCTCGGCCTCCCAAAGTGCTGGGATTAAAGGTGTGAGCCACCAAGCCCGGCCTTTTTTTTTTTGTTTGTTTGTTTCTGAGACAGAGTTTCGCTCTTGTTGCCCAGGATGGAGTGCAATGGTGCAATCTCGGCTCACTGCAACCTCCACCTCCCAGGTTCAAGCGATTCTCCTGCCTCAGCCTCCTGAATACCTGGGATTACAGGCACCTGCCACCATGCCCGGCTAATTTTTTCTTGTATTTCTTAGTAGAGATGGAGTTTCACCATGTTGGTCAGGCTGGTCTTGAACTCCTGACCTCAGGTGATCCACCCACCTCGGCCTCCCAAAGTGCTGGGATTACAGGCGTGAGCCACCGCATCCAGCCCTTGAAGATAGATTTTTTTCAAGCAAAATATAAAAGAATTTTAATATTAAAAATGAAACCAAAAGTCCTATAAATCATTTTAGACCTAAAAGCCTAGGTAATATATATACATCAACACTACACACACACAAGTTTGAGGAAAAAAATTACATTTACTTCAGCTATTCAATATTTGTATACCTGATTTAGTGCAAGGCAGGATGCTGGTAACTGCAGCCCCTATAAGGGGAGTCAGGCCTATGTATACAGCCAGATTAACCATAACTTTTTGGATTAATAGAGAAATGTATTTACTGTTTGCTTCACTTAGCGAAGATTTATGAAAAACGTTCCATATTATACCAGGGACTATGCTGGATACTGAAGATTCAAAAATGAATCAGACACAGCTCCTGACACTGAGGAGGTTCAGAATCTCATGGGTAACAAAGACTTGCCAACTATTTCTTAAAGCAAATGTGATAAGAGTTAACAGAGTAATACTCAAATGCCATAGGAGTTTCCCATTTCTGCTAGGGGACTCTAGGAAAGGCTTTTTAAAAGAGATGAATGCCTGTTAAAAAGAATTTTAAGGACACGCATCCTTGCTTATCCATGCATTCTTCCAGTATAAAAATAACAAAGAAAAGAATACCAAGACACAGCATTCAAAAAAAAAAATCTTCAAAAGGGGATGATGGGCCAGGCGCGGTGGCTCATGCCTGTAATCTCAGCATTCACATGCCTGTAATCTTAGCATTATGGGAGGCCAAAGCAGGTGGATCACCTGAGTTCAGGAGTTCGAGACCAGCCTGGCCAACATGGTGAAATCTCGTCTACTAAAAATACAAAATTAGCTGGGCATGGTTGACACATGCCTGTAATCCCGGCTACTTGGGAAGCTGAGGCAGGATAATCACTTGAATCCAGGAGGCAGAGGGTGCAGTGAGTGGAGATCACGCCACTGCACTCCAGCCTGGGCAACAAGAGCGAAACTCCGTCTCAAAACAAAACAAAACAAAATAAAAAATTAAAGGGGACGATGTTCTTCTTCCTCACATCTGTAAAACACTCGATTACTCCTGAGAAATGCGAAGTGTTCAATTTTAAAATCTAATTTTAAATTTTATTATTTATATTCACATAGAGTTTATGTACATCAAGTTCCCAAAATGAGTTTGAATTTGTATTATACTGAGAACAAAGACAGGATGAAATCATGAAATCTGCAGATATTATTCAAACTTCATTATATTCCATATTTTTATTCTCCTTCCTTGGGAAGTTTTAGTTTTTAGAAGTTCTGATAAAATTAAGTAAAACACCATATTACAAAATTTTCCTAATCGTTTCTCACTGGAAATGGCAAAGAACAATGAAAGATCAATACATAAGAGCTGTAAGAGGCATTAAGATTCCCAGCCAAACACTAAATCCAGGAAGAGTTTATGGTTTATTTCTAATTCATCATGCATGTCTTGAGAAGATTTTAAACATGAGTAAAAAAGTTATGAATTTCTATGAGCCCCACTATAGAATCTAAAAACCAAAATCAAAAAAAGCATCACTTCCTTTAACATTCCATTAAAACTAAATTATGAAAAAAATGATGATATCTCATTAACTAAATTTTTAAAAGCAATGTGAAAAAATCTACCAATTTCTGTTGGAGATTATTTTTAGAATGTATATGCATCAGTTCCTTTGAGCTATGTATTTCCTCTAATACAAGTATTGTGGGTGTTGCGGCAGGTGAGACTTTGCATGTCAGATTCTAAAAATCAGATGTAGGACAGACAGCAATGCTGCACCCTAACAAAAATTCCTTTGGTATCTCACAAAAAGATGTGATAGTACAGCTAAGGAAGATATATCAGAGCACAATCTCCACCACACCTATGTCTTTCATTTCTGGGTGCAGGCTTCAATCACACAACATCAAGAGAAAAGACTTAAAGCAAGCCAAACTTTCTATTATGCAATTAAGCTCTTAATAAATATTGGATTTCTTTCCTTTCTCTAACTAGAGATTTTTAAAAAATTGATCTGTACGGTATATTTCAACTGTATCTCAAACCTCAATATCTGAGAAATAACAGGGTTAATCCTAGGTTGAACATTTATCAAAGAGAGAATATTTCTGAACAAATTGATCACTTTTATTACTCAGAACAATACTGCTTTAATTATGTGGATTTATTACATTTTTTTCCCCTCCAGGATTATTTAAAGCTGGAGGGTTATCCTTTGGTACAATAGCTTCACTACCAAATAGGATTTAAAATTTACCCTTTGACATCTTCAGGATACAAGTGTAATAGTAAATAATCACATTATCTCAATGGCACACTAAGCCCAATAAAGTAGATTAGACATGGGGTGTTGCAATATTTGAGAATACAAGTAGGGATCTCTATGCCATGCAACAGAGCATGGTGGTTAGGAGTTCTGAGGTTAAACCACCAGCTTCAGGTTGTATCTTTGCACTTACTAGCTGTACAACCCCAAGCACACTACTTCCCTTTGCTAACTCCCAATCTGTAAAATGGAGATAACTGTACCTGTTTCATAGGGTTATAAGAATCCAGTATGATAGGCTGGGCGCGGTGGCTCACGCCTGTAATCCTAGCATTTTGGGAGGCTGAGGCAGGTGGATCTCAAGGTCAGGAGTTCAAGACCAGCCTGACCAACATGGTGAAACTCCGTCTCTAACTAAAAATACCAAAATTAGCCAGGCGTGGTGGTGTGCACCTGTAATCCCAGCTACTCAGGAGTCTGAGGTAGGACAATCACTTGAACCCAGGAGGCGGAGGTTGCAGTGAGCTGAGATTGCACCACTGCACTCCAGCCTAGGTGACAAAGTAAGACTCCGTCTCAAAAAAAAAAAAAAAAATCCAGTATGATAGCTCATGTAAAGCATTTAGCAAAATACTACTAATAGGTGCCAAAATTCTGAGAGCTGTAACACAAATACACATAGAATTAAGGCACAGAAGACCCTACACTACTATACCCGATGTTACACAGTCGATGAAATTCAAATGCCGATTTCTCACTTGTGTCTGTGCACTATGAGCAACCTATTTACCATTTTCACTGTATCTCTAATATTCAAAATTCCAGAAAAAGGCTTTCCACAGTACCTTCACACTGATGATGAAAATTAGAAACTACAAAATGCATAGCCTTATTAATAAAATACCTCAACCAATTTTATCCCAACACACCACCACAAGAACAGAAATAAAGCAAAAACTACAAAGTCATTTTAAGGCTTGTTTTACAAAACGTTAGGTGGAATATCAATTGGTAAACCCTTATTTAGCATCTGAGTGTTTGGCATTGTGTCGAGGGGAAAGACAGCTATGTGAGAAAGCCACAAGTTCTAAGTAAATGAATATGAGAGTTATACAAGGGACACCAAGTTTAACTACATAGGAATTATGAGAAAGAAGACAATATCAGAAAAGGCTTTTTATTGGAATCCAAGAAGACTTTAACACAAATATGTAAGAACTATGACAATAGTCACATTGCTTACCTGGGTCCACTCAGTCAGTTTTCTAGATACTACATGGAGGGTCCATTTATTTTTTGTTTGTTTGTTTTTAAAGGCAAACCAAGGTGAGGGGAGGAGCATGGTTGAACCTCAGTGATTCAGAATTCATGCTCTTGAAGCATCATACTAGTCTTTAGCAACAAATGGCACACACACACACACATATGTATATTTGAGACTGTGTCTCGCTCTGTCGCCCAGGCTGGAGTGCAGTGGCGTGATCTCAGCTCACTGCAAGCTCCGCCTCCTGGGTTCACGCCATTCTCCTGCCTCAGCCTCCCGAGTAGCTGGGACTACAGGCATCTGCCACCATGCCTGGCTAATTTTTTTGTATTTTTAGTAGAAACAGGGTTTCATCATGTTAGCCAGAATGGTCTCGATCTCCTGACCTCGTGATCCACCCGCCTCAGCCTCCCAAAGTGCTGGGATTACAGGCGTGAGCCACAGCGACCGACCTAGACTTGATTTTTTTAAAAAAGGCAAGAGGGGGCTACTAAAAGACTATGTGAGGAAGAAAATATCTCAAAAATATCAATCAGCAAGTGTTATGCAAGCAACTAGAAATGACAGGAGTCAAGTAGACAAGTTAGAAAGTTATTGTTCAAATGATGGCAACAAACTTTTTCAGAAAATATACCAATGGATCCAATCAAACCACACCCTTTTAAACAAACACACTAGATGATAATATATGAACCACCACAACACTATCAGTAATCCTGACAGAAGGCATAATTATATTGCGTTAACTGGCAACTAGGGGCACGCCTTCCTATTAGAACTTGGCAGTTTCAAAACAGCACCCAAAAAACATACTACCAAAATTTGAGGCTTTCTCGATGAGCTTAATTTCAGTCCAATTAATAAGTGCCTGCCACACCCTACATTAACAGGCACAGATTTGTTTAAATTAATCTCCCCAGGGGCAGGCTAATTCAAGGGTTAGTATTATTAGAATCTGTGTGAACAATTGGGTGCAGGTGTTCACATTACCAACAGGAGAATTAACTCTTAACCCACTTTTAGCAGATAGTGGGTGTTTGGTGAACTAATGGAATTTTTAAATATGGGGACACTAATATGTAAAGCAGTGACACTGTAAGCTGAAAAATAATTTGTCTTCCTTTACAATAAGTGACTGCCATCATTCATCACAGAAAGCTACAGTCACAAGTCAAATTAACTACTGTATCACAATTATCATATTACGCTACATACACCTTACTGACTCAGAATGTAACGTTTCAGAAGAAAAACAAGACTGGTTGTTAACAATCCTGCAAAGTAACGGAACCTCTGTAGACAGTTAATAAACAGCAGACAATGCTCCTTTTGGCCCTGAATGAAACAGGTTTGGCACAAATCTGTTCAATGTGTCCTTCCCATTTTACATAAACAAGTAAAAGGCAAATCATGCTGCAATGTCCCAGAAAAAGACTTTCATTTTAGAGAGCAATTACCACTATAGTGGCTTACGACTTGCCTTAAGATGAATTTGTTTAGAAAGTTTGTTTTAAATTGATCATATCGGGGCCGGGCGCGATGGCTCACACCTGTAATCCCAGCACTTTGGGAGGCCAAGGCGGGTGGATCACGAGGTCAGGAGATCGAGACCATCCTGGCTAACACGGTAAAACCCTGTCTCTACTAAAAGATACAAAAAATTAGCTGGGCGTGGTGGTGGGCACCTGTAGTCCCAGCTACTCGGGAGGCTGAGGCAGGAGAATGGCGTGAACCCAGGAGGCAGGGCTTGTAGTGAGCCAAGATCACACCACTGCACTCCAGCCTGGGCAACAGAGCAAGACTCCGTCTCAAAAAAAAAAAAAAAT
This sequence comes from Homo sapiens, assembly GCF_000001405.40. Classification (NCBI taxonomy): domain Eukaryota; kingdom Metazoa; phylum Chordata; class Mammalia; order Primates; family Hominidae; genus Homo; species Homo sapiens. Next base: position 54,221,474 of record NC_000018.10, read on the forward strand.
TATTAAGTTTGTATTTAAAAATTTAATGGCCAGGCCTGGTGGCTCACACCTGTAATCCCAGCACTGGCCGAGGCAGGTGGATCACAAGGTCAGGAGTTCGACACCAGCCTGGCCAATATGGTGAAACCCCATCTCTACTAAAAATACAAAAATTAGCCGGGCATGGTGGCAGGCACCTGTAGTCCCAGCTACTTGGGAGGCTGAAGAATCACTTGAACCCGAGAGGCGGAGGATGCACTGAGCCGAGATCGCACCACTGCACTCCAGCCTGGGCGACAGAGCTAGACTCCATCTCAAAAAAAATAAAATAAATTTAACATCAGAAAATTTACACAACATCCAAGAAAATGTTAAGTGGCCACAAATCCAAATGAGCACTACAACAATCTGACTTCTTGAAATAACTTTTCCAACTACAAGGAAAACCAACAAACAAAAAGCTCTGCAATACCCAAAGTCAGTCTGAACAAAAACATCATCCCAAAACCAAACAAACCATATCCCAGGAGAACTGCCACAGAGTAAAATTCAAAGTTTAAGATGTTCTACTGAGAATAGCCTAGTCATCTATTCCTCAAGGAGTTCAATCACAGATACAGAATAATCTTGTCAAATATAATTGCCTACAAGACATCAGCACATAGTTCACAGAAGGTTATGCAGACAGCCTGCTTAGAAAGAAAACAGAATGCTCTGTTAATGAAAGAATACTAGAAAACGAACAATTGTGAACGGCACTAAATGAAACTAATGAACTTGAGAAAACTAATCTTTTTTTAACCACAATAACCTTTTTTTTTAATCAGAAGAAATTGTCCCATTGAATGACAGCTGCCACTGGCACAGTCCCAGGGCAAGGATGCCAACAAAGGTTTTCTCTCAGCACCAGCTACCAAATCCTGGCCCCACAGCCTGAGGGAGGACCTGTGAAAGTGCTCACAATAACTTTCTTACCATTAAATCAAATATTTAATGATGAGGAAATACAAACCAAGACTATCACACTTTTTCTTTTTTTTCTTTAAAGAGATGGGGTTTCACTCTATTGCCCAGGCACAATCATAGGTCATTGCAGCCTCGAACTCCTGGACTCAAGAGATTCTCTCGCCCCAGCCCCGTAACTGGGACCACAGGTGATTACTACCTTCTTATGTTTAAAAGAAGTTCTCCATTTTATCATATGAGGTTTCAAGATGAGGGTCCAGATCAAGTGGAAGACTAAGTTCTATGAAACATCACTTTTATTTTTTAGTTGAGGTGAAGTGAACTTACTACAACTACTCATCCATATATAGCAACCATCAGGAATGTGTTCGTATTTACATGCTGCACCAGCAGTGATCACATTCTTGTGTGTGCATATGTATGTATATATGTGTATGTACATTTCTTTAACCTTTTCAATCTAGTTAAAAGTATTTTTAGTTCATAAGCATGGTATGTGTACAGACACATTTTCCCAGAGCTACTTGAAGAGGACAGGAAATCCTTTATAACATTATTACAATAGCTAAATGACAATTGTCTCCAATACCCATATACATTCCCTGAAAAATGCTTCAGTCAGTCCACAAACACGTACCTCCAAACTACTGAATACAAGTTTATATTATCTTCTATCAATAGCATGGCTTATTACAAAATTTAGTAAATGTGTATTAAGTCCACGGATGTCAATTGCCATAGGCACTTTCTTGAGCTTACTGGGTCACACAAACTGAAGACATCAGCAGCATGACCACGGGATTGCAAGATTACACTAAGGTGAAAAACCTTGAATCATTTAAAACAGGATGTCTCAACCTCAGCACAGGTGACAATTTGGGCCAGATCATTCTTTGTTGTGGCAGCTTTCCTTTGTATTATCGAATATGTAGCAGCATCTCTGGCCTCTACCCACTAGATGCCAGTATCACACCCTCCCCAGGTGTGAGAACCGAAAATGTCTCCAGACATTGACAAATGTTCCCTGGGGAGCAAATTTTGGTCTAGGAGTCTAAAAACTTAGTACAGTGTGTCAGTTTCAAAAGAGTATATTCTGCAATACCAAGAAGTTCCAAAAAAACTTCAGGCATTCCAAATAGCTGCTTTATACAAAACTTTCTTGGATGAAGTAAATGAAACCTTGTTACTGTAGATAGCTCATTCTTCCACATGTGCATGCTTAACACTTGTGATGATGAATCTGGGACAGGCTGGGACAGGAGCCAACAGTGACTGGGTTTTATAGTTTCGATGAATTACACCTCCTTTTAACCCTTCAGTGGACTAACCATCCCTGCCAGGCTAACCCTTTCTTCGCAAACCATCTTCCCCGACGCCTTCCACATAAGATGCCCTCCTGCGGGCCCTCACCTTTTGACACTGCCTCCCACCGCACTGGGGTCAACTCTCACCCAAGGGTTCCGCCACCTTCCACCACCAAACCAGCCTGTCCCTGCCACATGCCCCCCGGGCCCCAGCGCTCATCCTCTGCCCAGGCCCGCTCTTGACCCCTGACCCCGGCCTGACCCCGCCACCCCCTCCCCGCCCCCAGGGAGGTACCTGAAGTAGTAGACATCGCTCTTGCCAGCACTTAGCCCAGATTTTCGGATCACTTCCTCCTTCTTCCATCCGGGGGGGAGGGCCGGGCAATCCATCCTCTTCCCGCTCTCCGTGGCCCGGGGTCCCCTGGGCCCCGGCCCCGCGCTCCCCGACGGGAAAGGGACCGGCTCCCGCCGGGGGGCGCCGCCGCCACCGCTGCCGCCGCCGCCGCAGCCGCCGCCGTCGCCGCCAAGGCCGCTGCCGCCACTCGGGGGACGGCCGCGGCCCCGGCCCCGGCCCCGTCCCCGTCCCCGGCCACGGCCCCGGCCCCGGCCACGGCCACAGACGCCGCCGCCCCGGCCCGCCTGCTTCCACCGCCCCCGGCCACGGCCGCCGCCCCGAGCGCCTTCCCTGCGCACGCCGCTCACCGGGGACGGGGCGAGCGCGCTGCCCTGGCCCCCCTGCTCTATGGCGGAGTCGCCGCCAGCGCCGCTGCCGCCCGCCGCACTCTCCCCCTCCTCCTGCTCCGGGCAGCAGCGGCCTCCCCCCGGGTGCGCGCGCATCCAGCCCCCTCCCCAGCCGGCGCTGCGCTTCTTCCGTAACCGAGCCCTTGGAATCCCGGAGACCCGCCCCGCCCGCAGCGCGGCGCGCGGGGGACGCGCGCAAGCATCATAGAGCGGGCGCGCACAGAGCGGCCCTCCTGCCCGGGGCGTGGCCCCGGCCACCGCCTCTTAGGTCCTCCAAGCGCTATGGGCGGCCATCTTGTCTCCGCCTTCTCGGGGCCACGCCCCCTCCCGCGCTTTTCCGGCCCCCACTGGGCGCGCGGAGCTGGGAAGGTTGGTCGGGCTAGCCACCAGCTGGGGGTGTCATAGTGACTGTGGTTAGTTTGTTTCAAACGGGGTAACCTCCACCATTATGTGATTTTACCTATGTTTGCTTCCCAATTAATGAATAACAAGCAAAATAGATCTTATATTACATACCAACTCGGCTATTCATTTAAGGGGGTGATAGCCCCTTTTCCCGCCCCTCTGCACAAAGCTTGCAGGGGAGCTTATAATGAAGGAATGAAGCAAAGTGTCCCATTCGCTGAATACCAGTTCCCTCCTGAGCCTGGCTTCAGAGCCATTGACAGATTCTCCTGGAACCTTGTAAGGATGTAGGAAAGGAAATGATAACTTGGAATATGCCCATGAGTCAGATGGGGCTTACCTCTAGATTCTCCTTAGAATGACCAGAATCCCTAAATCCATCTAGAAATTTCCAGATGTCTTTGTCTAATACAAAAATCAGTGGCCTTTTATTTGGTAAATATTCCATTATGTTGAAAGTCCAGCCTAACTTACTGTCACAAGCCTTTAGGAAACTGTGTGGTATTCTTTTCGGTCTGCCAACTTGAATTTTAGAAATGCATATTTTCTATAAGTTGTCGAACACTTATAGAAGTGTGCTATTGATATTCAAGATAATATATTATGAAATATTTGGAAGATTGAAAAATGTAAAGCACATGTTATCAGCCTGATGATAAGCTATCTTGGGTTTCTATACTCATATGCCCTAAAAACTGAGGACCAAGTTTAACGTATAGAAAAAGTTGATTAATATAAAGCAACAAAAATCTAAAATTAATTTGGTTTATCTTTGCAGTATATGCAAACATTAACTCATACACACAAACTTGTCTGTCTCTAAACCTGACCTTAGTCTTCTTTTAATGTCCTTTAGTTGAAAGACACTAATTTGTGGTTTCCTACAAGAAATTTAGAAATGTGAATGTAAAAAATCATCAAGAAATGAGTTCTGAGGAGATCAGTACTGGAGACATTCATTTAGAAGTCATCTGTGGGCCGGGCGCGGTGGCTCACGCCTGTAATCCCAACACTTTGGGAGGCAGAGGCGGGCAGATCACCTGAGGTCAGGAGTTCAAGACCAGCCTGGCTAACACGATGAAACTCCGTCTCTACTAAAAATGCAGAAAATTGGCTGGGCGTGGTGGCGGGCGCCCGTAGTCCCAGCTGCTCCGGAGGCTGAGGCAGGAGAATGGCGTGAACCCGGGAGGCGGAGCTTGCAGTGAACTGGATCACGCCACTGCACTCCAGCCTGGCAGACAGAGCGAGACTCTGTCTCAAAAAAAAAAAAAGAAGTCATTTGTGGCCGGGCGCGGTGGCTTACTTCTGTAATCCCAGCACTTTGGGAGGCCGAGGCCGGCGGATCACGAGGTCTAGAGATAGAGACCATTCTGGCCAACATGGTCAAACCCCATCTCTATTAAAATACAAAAATTAGCTGGGCGTGCTGGCGTGCGCCTGTAATCCCAGCTACTCGGGAGGCTGAGGCAAGAGAATCGCTTGAACACGGGAGGCGGAGATTGCAGTGAGTCGAGATCCCGCTACTGCACTCCAGCCTGGCAACCGAGCGAGACTCCGTCTCAAAAAAAAAAAGTCATTTGTGAAAGTGACAGTTGAAGGAGGCCCTGGAAGTAAGTAAGCTCTCCAAGGAAGGGCTTGCGTGGTTAATAATAAAAGGAAAGAGGATCAAGAACTGAATCTTGAGGAATGCCAATACTTAAGGTTCCACTGAAGGAATAAAGGAAAAAAATGATATTAAAGTTTGTATGACATAAGAGAGTACTCTGATTTTCACACATAATTGAAAGTAAAGGGTAAACATGAGCAAAAATCTCAGTAGAAACGGTAATTGAGACAGGTAGTTGAGACAACAGATGGGAACAGGTATGCTTTTGGAAAATTCTACCTTTTCATGCTGTGCTAATAAGGCTGTAGATCAAATGATATATTGGATATAAAAGCATGCTTAAAGAAATAAATCACAGGATTTTCGGGTCATTATTTTAACTTCTACTACCAGATTCCATTTGCTAAATCCCAGAAGATGTAGCTTAATGTTCCCTCTGTTAAGAAAAATCTCATTTAGACATGTCAAAAGCTTTTTGGTTACACTTGAACTTTTCTGCTGTGATACCATAGAGCAAAGTAAAAATATATATATATATATATATATATATAAAATAAAAATAAATGCTCTTATTTATTCTCCCACTAAAAGAAAAAAAAATACTCCAATTAAGGCAACAATAAATTCCAAAGGGGACTAGATTGAGATCTAAAAGGGTTAAGAATAGATGCTAAATACCTGAGAGACAGACCCCTTTGTTTCTCTTAAAATACTGGACAAATAATAAACCTTTTATAATTCTCGGAAACTGCATTTTCTATCACTCCTCCAGGAAGCATAGCAACGTTATTTTTCTCGGGTAGTAAAGTTGTGACCAAATTTTCAATTTGGTCTCTCTTACAATGGAGAAGGTTTGCTAGCTTATCTCTTGGAGAAAGTGAAAGACAAAAGCAAGATAGGATTATGTATGAAATCTGGTCCACTAAATGAACAACAGAGATGTAACCACCTGTGATCTCTGCCTCCCAGGTATAAAGGCAGGTGCTAAAACACCAACTGTCACCCCTAGAAGACTATTCTTTCTTTGATTTTTCCCTTTATTGTTTAGCAGGTAAAGCTGAATGAAGTTAAGCCATTAAAGAAAAAGTTGTGGCCGGGCGCGGTGGCTCACGCCTGTAATCCCAGCACTTTGGGAGGCCAAGGCAGGCAGATCACAAGGTCAGGAGATCGAGATCATCATGGCTAACACGGTGAAACCCTGTCTCTACTAAAAATATAAGAAATCAGCCAGGCGAGGTGGCGGGCGCCTGTAGTCCCAGCTTCTCGGGAGGCTGAGGCAGGAGAATGGCGTGAACCCAGGAGGCGGTGCTTGCAGTGAGCTGAGATCACGCCACTGCACTCCAGCCTGAGCAACAGTCTCAAAAAAGAAAAGAAAAGAAAAGAAAAAGTTGTTTTAAAGAAAGCTGTTAATTTGGATTTTTATTTTGAAAATTAGAACAAATTCAGGTAATGAAACTTCAAAGAATATTAGGAGGTGAGACTGATTTTGAGAACTATATATTTTGTCAAATATATAACCTGCGTTTAAATCTTTGAGTGTGATAAAATACCCAATAAAAGCAGGTGTTTTTTTTGGTTTGTTTGTTTGTTTGGTTTGGTTTGGTTTTTGTTTTTTGGTTTTTTGTTTGGTTGGTTGATTGGTTTATTGGTTTGTTGTTGTTTTGGCCTCCTGTGTAACTGGTACCACAGGTACGTGCCATCACACTCAGCTAATTAAGACAATTTTTTTTTTTTTTTGTAGAGATGGGAGTCTCCCCGTATTGCCCAGGCCGGTCTCAAACTCCTGGGCTCAAGCAATCTTCCCGCCCCACTTCCCGAAGCCCTAGGATTACGGGAGTGAGCCACCGCACCCAGCCAGAAAAACGTTTCAAATATTGGAAAACCTTACTTTTTTCAATGAGCATTTTTGCATCAAGGGGTAACAGGGACATTAGGCTTTTTTTCTCTTAGACTCCAAACAGTAAGGTCAGAATTTATCAAGACATTACATAGGAGTAAGGGCACAGCCAGGGGTGGTGGGGGGAGGACATTTTCCAGCACTAATTAACAGGTTTTATGATTCACTAGGTTGGCCCAACTACTGTTCTCACCTAATTCCCAGGCACAGCATGTCAGGAGGCCAAATGACACTTTCCAGTGCAAGTGCTTGTAGTATGAAGGGGGCAGAGATCACCTAGTGACCATCAAGCAGGCCATCCAGAGGCAAAACTCCTTATGTGAGGAATTTAGAAGTAATTAGACTCCCCTGTTATTTAAAGCTGGCATCTGGGTCCAGGCTTCTTCCCCAAAAACTTGTAAGTAACTAGAATTTCTACATGTCTCCCATGCATGCATGTCAAAACTTATCGTGCAACCCTTGCTGACATTAAGACACCAAAATGTCCAAAAATGTAATCATTTATCATGACCTAAGTGGTTAATATGGCCCAAATTCCCTTTAAGCTCCTGCTTTAAGGTTCATAAATATCCCTAAGGAAAATCCACTCAGTCCTCTCTTGCTGAGGCACCCTGCTGTACTCTTCTGCACTGTTCTTTCTTTCTAATAAAACTTTCTTTTTCGAACCTATACTGTCTTCTGTAAATTCTTCTTACTACCCTATGACCCGTGAGCCAACCACTTTCCGATGCCAGGGTTCTGACACCTCACCTGGCATAATATAAAGTGTTTTTTTTTTATACCCTTCCACTTGGAAAGACTACAGAGGAATCTTGCACTGCATAGTTCAAACTAAAAAGAGAAGAGTTAATTACCTGAAAAGCAAGAGAAAACAAGAAGGGGTAAATTTTGAACCAAGGGAAATCATTTAAGAAGTGTCTGGTATTTTTCAAATTTCTGTCAGTTGTTACATTTGTCATAAGTAAATGTTTAGGAATAAAGGATGGAGACATGCTTATTTTATTTAACTCCCCCAAAATAAAAAAAAAAAAAAAAAAAAACAGTGCAACCAGTAGAAAGAAAATGATCTTTAGGTTTTAGAGCCCTCGGATACCAATTAATATGCTGAACAGTGGTTTTTTACTTTAATTCTGGCTGCAAAACACCAGAATGCTAGGACATGTGATCCATTAGAAATGAGGGCTGACTATGCTATGATTGCGGTTCACAAGTGAGGGAGGAGTAGTCACTGAGTAAATCAGAAAATACATCTCACCAAGAGACTTTGTACCTAAAATGGCTTTCCCAAGGCCTCACGCATACCTCACAAGAGGCAAGGCAAAGACTAGAACTCCAGTTTCCTGACTCGAAGTTTAGAGCTTTATCTGCTTTCACTGCCTGTCCCACCTTCAATGGCCTCTTCACTCTCACGCTTGCTGCTACTTCAAATTGGAAAAACATTGTCTGTTTCCACCCACACTCTCACCCCAACCTTCCGTTTGGCTATTTTCTACTTATCTCTTAGGTTTCACCTTAGACATCACTTCATCCAAGTTGCCTTTTCTAACCTCCCCAGAAACCCCACTGCTGATTCAGTGCCCCCCAGGTTGTATACTCTACGCCACACTAGTATCATTTGGTACTTCCTCATCCATTTATTGTACTTTATTGAATTAGTTTTTTAATTGTCTTTTGTCCCCCACCAGCCCACAAGGCACTTTTCATATTCAACTGCATTCTCCATGCCTATTACTGGATTTGCCGGGCACATGGGAAGGGTTCATTAGATACCTGATGAATACATTGAATTAATACTTTTTTTTTTTTTTTGAGACGGAGTTTCGCTCTTGTCACCCAGGCTGGAGTGCAGTGGCACGATCTCAGCTCACAGCAACCTCCACCTCCTGGGTTCAAGAGATTCTCCTGCCTCAGGCTCCTGAGGAGCTGGGATTACAGGCACCTGCCATCATGCTCAGCTAATTTTTGTATTTTTCATACAGACAGGGTTTCACTATGTTGGCCAGGCTGGTCTCAAATTCCTGACCTTAGATGACCCTTTTGTAAAAATTGTATAGTCTTAAAATAATGAGCAGCATGTTTGCTTCTCAATGAAAGTATAATCACATGGATTATATAAAAAAGAAATTCGGCCGGGCGCGGTGGCTCACGCCTGTAATCCCAGCACTTTGGGAGGCCGAGGCGGGCGGATCACGAGGTCAGGAGATTGAGACCATCCTGGCTAACACGGTGAAACCCCGTCTCTACTAAAAATACAAAAAATTAGCCGGGCGTGGTAGCGGGCGCCTGTAGTCCCAGCTACTCGGGAGGCTGAGGCAGGAGAATGGCGTGAGCCCGGGAGGCGGAGCTTGCAGTGAGCCGAGATCGCGCCACTGCACTCCAGCCTGGGCGACAGAGCGAGACTCCGTCTCAAAAAAAAAAAAAAAAGAAATTCACAGCTCATCCAATCTTTGAAAATTTGAAAAGGTTTCCATGCCTAAGAGATATTTAACAATAAATTTGACTTTTTTTGTATAAATGTGGGGTACAAGCGCAATTTTGTTACATGCATCTATTGTGTAGTGATAATCAGGGCTTTTAAGGTATCCATCAACCATATAATATACATTGTACCCATTAAGTAATTTCTCAGCAACCACCCTCCCCCACCCATCACTCTTCCAAATCCGCACTGTCTATTATTCCACACTCTATGTCCATATATACACAATAGTTAGCTCCCACTTATAAGTGAGAACAGTGATATTTGACTTTGTGTGTCTGGCTTGTTTCACTTAAGGTAATGACCTCCAGTTCCATCCGCATTGCTGCAAAAGACATGATTTCATTCTTATTTATGGCTGAATAGTATTCCATTGTATATATATATGCCACATTTTCTTCATCCAATTATCTGTTGATGAACACTTACATTGATTCCATATCTTTGCTATCGTGAATAGTGCTGCAATAAACATATGAGTATGGATATATTTTGGATATAATGATTTCGAATAATTTCTTTAACTTTAGGTTGATAAGCAGAATTTAACTTTATTTTAATTAAAAATGAGGCTTAAATTCATTTTACAAATATGCTTGTTTATAACAGTTATAATGTTTTATTTAGTCTCTTCTACATCAACTTTAACTTGAACTTTTCATTAGCTCCTCAAAAATATTGTAGACTATATATCATAAAAGATAATCACAAAATGACTACTTCTGAAAAACTATTTCTGAATTGAAATATTTATCTGCATTCATGTTTCTGCTCATTTGACTTCAAATAATTTGACTCCTCCTAATACTCCAAGTTATATATACTCACATGTGTCTCATGTCTTTTTATTTTGGAACCATCTACAAAGTTGTCAGGGTATTTTCTTTATGGCTTTGCTCATTTCTAACGGGCCCCTAATCTGTAGTACTTTTGAGCATAGTTTAAAAACCTAATAGAGGGCCCATGATTTGGCCCAGTGACCTTGTTCTGAAACACTTTCAGACTTTGTATCCCAAATCGTTACCTACCTCAAGACTCCCCAACAAGTTAATCACAGTTATATACCATTGTACACAATTGCTTCTCTCCAGGCAGCTGTTATTATTGCCACGTATCCTTCTACATATCTTGGAAGTCTGTCCTCTGGGGTGGGGGATTAGAGCAATGGTGACCCAGCAACTTTCTCTGTCACCATCTGTGGCAGACACACTGGTTGGCAAAATCAAACACCCATTAGCAATTTGAGTTTCCCTTGCCCACCTTCTCTATAGAAACTAGAAAGTATAAATACTCACTCTCCCAATCTCACTTAGGCAAGAATAGGAGAGAAGCAACAGTGACTGTGGGAAACTGTTTACTTCTTTATCTAAAAAAAAAAAAAAAAAGAGACTGGGCATAGTGGCTCAGGCCTGTAATCCCAGCATTTTGGGAGGCCGAAGCGGGTGGATCACCTGAGGTCAGGAGTTCAAGACCAGCCTGGCCCACATGGTGAAACCCTGTATCTACTAAAAATACAAAAAATTAGCCAAGCATGGTGAAGGGCGCCTATAGTCCCAGCTACTCAAGAGGCTGAAGCAGGAGAATTGCTTGAACTTGGGAGGTGGAGGTCGCAGTGAGCCGAGATCATGCCATTGCACTCCAGCCTAGGCAACAAGAGCGAAACTCCATCTCAAAAAATAAAGAAAGAAAGAAAGAAAAGAAATAAAAAGATATGATCGGCACCCCCCTTTTGCCCTTGCTCCTGCTGGAACTTGGGCGTGATTTCTGAAGCTGTGACAGCCGTCTGGCAACTATGAAGCAAAGAACACTAAGATAAAAGGCCAGCATCCTAAGAATAGCAGAGCCAGAAAATGGAGAACTGAATGACATTATTGAGCGGCTGAACTGTCTTGCAACTGTTTATCTCCAGACTTTTTGTTACATGAGAAAGACCATGTTTGATTAAACCACTGTTTAGTTTTTGGATACGTGCAGCAGAAAGCATTTTTTGCTCAAATAAAATTTCTTCCTTTAATGGATTGTTTAAATCTTGCTAAAATTCAGGCAGCTCCTAAACTTGAGACCTCGGTATAAGAGATTGCAAAGAGTAAAGGAAGAAGCCAGAGAGAAATATAAAGAGAGAGAGAGCAGGGGAAAGTGGTTAGTAGGCTTTCCCCTAGTAGCAGCAGTCCAGGAGAGGTCTCCCTTTCACACTCTGGTGGAAAGAAAGGCATTCCAAGGGGCCACCTCTACTTGGGCTCTAATTCCCTTGCTAGGCACAATGGAAGCTCCAGCTCCAGAAGGTATGGCCCAGTAAATTATCTTTGAACTTGATCATTTCATAGCAACTGTCCTCTTTTCTGAATACAGTAACAGGTATGGGGAAGGAGACCCTTGATCAGCGTTTCTCCAACTGAGATCCACAGATGGACTCAGTTTGCCAATTCCCTACCACAAAATTTTGGCATAAAATTTTCATTTCCATAATAATGTTTTTATTTTCTTTTAAGCCCCAACATAAGCATACAATGGACTGTCTGCATAACCATCTGGTATCTGAGTCATGTTTCCTTATTTCACTGCCCCAGCTTGATCTAGTTGGTAATAAGGAGTGCTACTTTGAATGACATTGACTAATGATAAAGGAACAGATGCCAACATAATACGCAAATAACGAGTTTGTGCATATGAAGACTTCAGGGCACATTGAATGAAAGTTTTGTAATCATTCCATCAGAGAAAAGTGGTGGGAAAACTTAGTCACCTGAAGAACACAGTGGCATCTATAGGCCAAAACCCAAACTATCTGACTAGTGTCAATTTGCATCATCACTTTGGGATCAATAATTTGGTTTCTAGGAAAATAATAATCTATAATAGCAATTTGACTTGACTACTGTTTAATAATTTGACTTGTATTTAACTTATAAATTTATTCAATGTTTATAATTACGTAAGAGCCGTAAGGTTAAAATGAGTTAAATGAGGTTAAAATGAGTTTTATGTTTTCACATATTTATGTAACATCAGAACAAGAATATAACACAGGTTGGGTGTGGTGGTTCATGCCTGTAATTACAGTACTTTGGGAGGCCGAGGCGGGAGGATTGCTTCAGTTCGGGAATTCAAGACTCAAGACCAGCATGGGCAAAATAGTGTGACATAGTCACTACTAAAAATAAAACAAAAAAATTAGCCAGGCATGGTGGTGCCTGCCTGTTATCCCAGCTACTCAGGAGGCTGAGGCTGGAGACTTGCTTGAGCCCAGGAGGTCAAGGCTGCAGTGACCTAAGATGGTGCCACTGAACTCCAGCCTGAGCAACAGAGTGAGACCCTGTCTCAAAATAATAGTAATTCTTATTATTATTTAACTCAACACTGTGGAACAGAGTCCTCAGTAACTTTTTCCTTGAAAAAGAAATATATATCCTTTTTCAATTTTGAGAAACAGTTCTCTAATTTTCAGTCTCACCATCAAATTCTTTCTTCCTATGTGATGAGATTTCTGAGAAATTAATAAGTGTAAGTGTCTCTCATGACCCATCTTGAAATTCTTTCTCTCCTTGGCTTATGAGATATTATACCCTTCTGATTGTCCTTCTATTACTTTCCAGTTCTGTTTGGTATACCTTTTTTCTTGGATAGTTCCTCAAATGCTCTGTTCTCCCAGGTTCCATCTTTACATGCCTTTTCTGCTCGTTCTACCTGCTCCGCCTTGTCAATGTCACCTACTTACAAGCTTTAGCTACAGGAACTCACCCTTGCCCTCCAATGACAACATGGCTTGTGCGACATTGGCAAGATCATCCTATATATGCTGTAGATAACCCTATAGCAGTTTTCCAGATGAAAGATCATACTCATTGGCTACTTCTGAGGTCTTGAGGAGGTCCTAAAACTAGTACCCCTGTCCCTCCTGAGTAGTGAAACTAATTAAGAAACAAGAAAAGGAATGAGAAAAATGACATCCAGAATAACTCCATCATGAGAAAGTATCGCTTAGAGGATGTGTGAAAGCTGAATGGGCTTGTCACTGAATTCCAAAATTTAATGGCCAAACCTACCTTGCTGTAACGAGGCTGTCGACAGTCTCTCTCCATCCACTTCTTGAGGTCTGGCCTTTACTCTTACATTTTGTAACATGACCAAGAATAACCAAGAACAAATGTGCTAAGCAGGCAGGAAAATGCCAAACAAAGAAGAAAAGAGAGGAAGGAGCTGAGCTACCAAGATCCTGTTCTTTCCAAATTCACCATTCACTCTATCTCTTCAGGGGATTGGGGAAAAAGACCACAAGTGTGAAGAGAAGAAGAAGGAAAACAACAACAACAACAACAAAACACTGTTGAAAAACAGGAGAAGAAAGGTGACATTCCCCTTTAATAGTAATATCATTTGTGAGTGCTAAAAACTGTTTCCTTAAGTGTTGTTTCAAAATCATGTTACCCCATAAATATATATCTACTACCTACCCAGGAAAATTTTAAAAGAAATTTTAAAAAATTTTAAGTTAAAGTGTTGGTATTTTTTCTGAGAAGTTTGGAAAATATTCAGATGAATTAATACTAAATTTAGAATACCAGATTATAAAATCTAAATGGTCCAAAAAGATAGAAGGACAAGATATTGCCATAATATTTCAGTAAAGTAAAGCAAGTTTATAGATTTCACTGGGACATATATTGTAAAGGTAGGGGTAGCACAAGAAAAAGTCAGTAATGTGATTTAAAAGAAATATAATTTTATTCAGGTCTAGTTTTTGCCTAACCTTGTTTTATCATGAAACAGTTAAGATAAGGAGATAATCTCTGAACATACTTCTTTTAAATGAGCCTTTTGTGACCATTGTGAGAATATATATATTTTCTTTGCCAAAGAACTATGACTTTAGAATATGTGTTATTTACTCTTCCAAGATACAGCTGAATTGGAGGGGGATTGGGTTGTGCAGATGGCACTTTTTGCATGTCCCTTGCTCAGATAATTGGATTGTAGAAATAAAAGAAATAATCAGGATGTCAAATTTTAACATTCCTTTTACTCATGGATACTTTGGTGTTGCTCTTATTTCCATAGGC